>NC_000012.12:115944976-116096491 GCF_000001405.40 Homo sapiens | reverse complement strand
ATTAGAAAGGTGATTGCCAATATACTCATGTTCAAGCCACATATTACTATACTATTTGGAATTAAGATAATCTGTTTTGTTATTTTCCATTTTCCTTCCTCATCTTTGACTTTTTTTTTTTTTTTTTTTTTTTTTTTGAGGCTGTGTCTCACTCTGTCACCCAGGCTGGAGTACAGTGGTGCCATCTTGGCTCACCTCAGCCTCGACTTCCCAGGCTCAGGTGATCCTCCCAACTCAGCCTCCCAAGTAGCTGGGACCACAGGTGTATGCCACCACACCTGGCTAATTTTTTGTATTTTTGGTAGAGATGGGATTTTGCTGTGTTGCCCAGGCTGGTCTCGAACTCCTGAACTCAAGCCATCTGCCCACCTTGGCCTCTCAAACTGCTGGGATTATAGGTGCGAGCCATTGCGCCCGGCCTCATCATTGATTTTTTAAAAGTGTTGTATGGAATAAGTTTAAAAACAGTGAAGAAATGGTGACAATTTTTGTGGAATTCATTGGTGCCCCTTAAAGAAGATCAACACATCTTTGACGATTGTAAAACCAGAACTGTGAATTACTTTCCTAAACAATCCTAAACTTTTAGCCATCATATGTGTGTGTTTAAATGCAATCCTTGATACTATACAGACATGGAATTTTAGATCAGTCACACCAGAATCGGAAAACAAAACCCTCAGAATTTAAAATTTACTTTGGCTACCTCTGAATGTAGCACACATGTAGTTGGAATCATAAGTTGATGGTGAATATTCATTATTGATGAGCATGGTATTCAATTTAAATTTTGTTTTATTATCAGTGTACTTGCCCTAAGTGTCCCAGGTACTGGGTGCAGATTAGAGCCCTTGAAGCCTTACATAGTAGTTTTAAGATTAGGTCTTTTCTTTTGGTTGCAAAATTTCAGCTGGAAACTCCTGCCTCATTAGGAACCTTTGCTTGCTTAACTTTCCTAGTTTCTAGCAGAGACTTAATTAGTAGTCTTCTCACTCAACCTGTCTGCCTTAAATCTTTAATGAAATGGTTGTGGAATCTTCTCATTAACCAAACATAATTTATGAAAATTTTCAAATCAGATAAATTAGGGACCGGAAGTTTTCTTTGTCAAATCACCATAAACTTCTTTGAAGCATTTTCCTTTTCAGTACATTCAAAATCCTTTAAAAAGTAGCAATGTGTATGGGTGTGTGAAAGTTTGATTCTGTTTACAGATACTTTGATGAAATGGGATTTTTTTCCCCTTATAAATATATATGTATAGATTCGGCTTAACTAATGTGTTTCATGAGTTTTTACTTTCATTTATTTTTACTTCTTTAAGTTTTTGAGACAGGGTCTTGCTTTGTTATCCAGGCAGGAGTGCCAGTGGCGTGATCTCGGCTCACTGCAACCTCTGCCTCCCGGGTTCAAGCGATCCTCCCACTTCAGCCTCCCAAGTAGCTGGGACTGTAGGCACACACCACCACACCCAGCTCATTTTTAAATTTTTTGTAAAGACAGGGTTTTGCCATGGCTGGTCTTGAACTCCTGAGCTCAAAGCAGTCCACCTACCTTGGCCTCCCAAAGTTCTGGGATTACAGGTGTGAGCCCCTGTGCCTGGCCTTTGGTTTTTACTTTTAATCTTAGCATTCTCCTTAAATTTACAGAGGACTTAAATTTAAATCTTCTGAGTGGTTTAAATTTGGCTTTTATGTTTATGACTCTGCAGACTTAAATATGGAGTGCTTTATCCCAGTGACCTTCTTTATCATTCTGAGTACATCTGTCCATGCCTAACATGGATTGTGTCACTGGTCACTGGTGAGTTAAATGAGCTAGTCATAAAATAGCTTTAGACCATAAAATACAGGATGATTTGACAGCCACTTGGGGATGAAGAGGAAATGTAGATAAAAAGTAGGGATTGAAGGAGTAGCAATTAGTATGTTAATAGTAAAAAATAACTATCATTATCAGCCTATTTTATATAGAGTTTGTATATCTTTACACTCATTTTGGCTCCAAAAATCTTCATAACTTTAGCAAGCCTGATGTAAATAATGCATGTAATGTATTTGGGAATTTGATTCAATATAAATGGGAGGCTGCTGATATATGAGCACTGTAATTGAATGGATTTTAGACTTTATGTTCATGATTGAATATGGGACTTTGTTTTCCTTCAGTGCAGAAATGTAAATTATTTTGAAACAGTATTTCAGAAAAGCTTAACAATTAGAAAACATTTAAACCAAAGATGAATTTAAAAATTGGCGTTTGCTTTAATAAAACTTTATTAGGTATGATGACTTTTCCTCCTTTTATTCTCTGAGTGGAAAATAGAGCCTCTTGGTAGATGTTGAAATAGGATCTCAGTAGTCATGCCTGAGTTGGACAGTTTTAAATGGACAGTCATGCTGTGAAGGAGAGCATTTAGCATTAGAAGAGAATTGGGTTCACATCTTATTCTTCCACTTGCAAGTTAGATTTTGGACAAAGTTTATCTCAGCTGAATTTTTATTATTATTGAGTTGAAAATCATAATGTCTTAGAGGGTTATAGTGAAGATTAAATTAGATAATTTATGTGGCAGTTTATAATTTAGTTGAGAGAGAGAAATGAATTAAATTAATTTTTCTTAAGTTTAGTTGTGTCTTTTTTGGTACATTGGTACAGATCCATTTAGTGGCTAATGGAGAGGAAAACCTGTTGCCCAGTGCTAAACAAATTAAATGTACAAATTTATGTTTTAGAAAAGCTCTTATTTCTAAGTATAGTGTAATACTAGCATATAGTATCTATATATAATATCTATAATCTTAGCATATAGATAGTATATGCTAGGATTACTAGCATTACTGATTATTAGTATTACTAATTTCTCATACTGCATATTTTAGATATTCTAATCATGGTGAAAAAATACTGATGAATGAGTTCTCCCTGTTAGAATAATAGCATATGATTTTTTGTGCTATAATTTCTTTCTGTACTCCTTTAAAGTTCTTGTGCTATGATTTCATTTACTAATGGACTCCTAAAAGGGTTCTTAATATTTGATATGAGTTGATGTTCAGGAGAATTCTAAAGTAGATTATTTGCATATTATATATTAAAAATATGTATTTGATTAGGTAGTTTTAGAAACATAGAAATTCATTCAATATAATTTTTTCTCTATATTGACATCTTTTATTATTCATATCCTTGGGAAAAGAATAAGTAGAAAATACAACTTTGGGTTTGCCCTTGAGTGGTGACAACTAAAATCAAACATACAAAATTTCTGTTTTCTAAGGTCTAGGTTGAACTTGAAAAAAAGCTTTTGCATTCAGAATATGTTTTAAAACAAACCGGTGAAAATCATTTGGAAATTATTCCAATCATGCAGGTTCTCTCTCTTGGGAAGGCATTTGTTTTCTAATTTAATCTCAATCCACATTTTATTACAGGAGAATTTGAAATCTATACACTTTAGTCTTTGAATGTCATTTTTAGGAAACAGTTTATTGCCCTCAATAACAGTGGGCCTTTGATCTTTTCTGGTATCAGGTATACAGAAGCTAAGTTAACAAAAATAGTAACTTGCTAATTCATTTTCTGGGTTAATTTGCTGTCACTGACTCTTGGGCAAATCTACTCTGTTCTTGGGTGATACTCCAGAGAGCATCACATGTTTTCAGATATTCTAATTACTTTTGTATGTGCTGATAGCACATGTGCACACACCCCCCCCACCACACATATACCCATACACACTGAAAGTATATTACTTTAACTATCGTTTTTGTCTTCTCTCCTCTTAACTTCAGACTTTTTAAAACTTCTTTTTTATTTTCTTAGATTACCTAACATACATATTTAAGAAATGTAAATACGTTTTTTGGTTTAATAGCAAAGCGTGTATTTTGTGTAACAATACATTATTAACTCATACCAGAAATGTTTTGATGTAGGAGAACCATATTTAGTATTTTGAAACTTTCCCTTCCTTTCCTTATTTCATCCTCCCCTCCCCTTTATCTCCTCAAAGATAACAACCTGCTATTCCATTTTCTGAATTAATTAGCTATCACTGACTCATGGGCAAACCTGCCCTGTTCTTGAGTGGTACGCCTTCTCTCCATCCTCCTCTTTTTCCCCAGACTCTGTTATAGCCCAGTCATCTGTGTTATTTAGCTTTTAGAGATGCCCAGATAAGAAGGCGGAGAAGGGATCCCTAGTCTAGAAGGTGAGCAGACACTTCAAGTGTGAACGGTAAAGCAAGCCTCTTTTTAGTGTCCAGAAAAATGAGATCAGTAGCTATCTATGATTTTTTCTGTTTTACTCATAAATTTACTTTGCACATGTGGTGCCTATCTGTTAATAAGGGCTTGCTGATGGGAAGTCCATAGACAAATATTAATGGGACAATTTGGACTTACATAATCATGCATAATAGTTTTACAGCTTTTTTTTGGTAGCTCTATAAAACATTTACTCATTTTCTGAGAGTCTATCTGAGGGAGTTACAGTATTCTGCCATTTGAATATATTTGGGGATTGTGTGAAAAGTGAGTTAGAGTCTTGGGGATCATCAACATTTGTAGAATGGGTACAGAAACAAGAATACATAAAGGAGACTGAAGAGTCAACTGGAAATGAGAACCAAGAGAGACTGGTGTTACCAGAACCATGGAATTTTAAAGTTTCAAGATTGATCAGCTGTGTCTGCCATAGAGGCATGTAAAACATGTACTATAAAGACTATTAGATTTGGCAATTATGTAGTCATGGTGACTATAACATTGGCAGTTTCAAGTGGTGAAATTCAGATTGCAGTAGCTTGCATTATAAATGGGAGTTGAAGTGAAGATACTGAATGTAGAGCTTTTGCAGTAGTTTTTACAAGTAGCTGCAAAACACAAAACTGTTGATTCCAGGAAGGGAGCAGACAAACACTTAATAAGGGCTTGTGATAAAGCTTAATAGTGGTAGCTATAATTTTAAAAAGTATCTTTCGTGTACCAGGTACTTTGCTCTGTAGTTTCATAAACATATATAGGGGAATGTTAAATTGAAAGACCACTTCAGCCAGAGGTGATGATAGTTAAATACAGTATTTGCTTTCTATCCAACTCTTCTAGTTTTTCCTTTTTTTCTTAATAACTTAAAAGAAGTTATGACTGTTAGTTTTTATTTTTCATTTGTGCTATTAGTGGTCTAAACAGTATATGTCAACAATAATTATTGATTTTTACACTTTAAAGTAAAATATATTTAAATATGTGCTATTTTCAAGAAGGATTGAAAATACCTTATAGTAAAAGAGATACCTTGTTTTTTAAATTCTTTTTTATAGTAAAAGATATACCTTGTTTTTTAATTCTTTTTTTTTTTTTTTTTTTTTGAGACAGAGTTCCGCTCTGTCACCCAGGCTGGAGTGCACAGGTGCGATGTCAGCTCACTGCAATGTCCTCCAGGTTCAAGCAATTCTCCTGCCTCAGCCTCCCAAGTAGCTGGGATCACAGGCATGCATCACCAACACCTGGCTAATTTTGTATTTTTAGTAGAGACGGGATTTCACCATGTTGGCCAGGCTAGTCTCGAACTCTTGACCTCACGTGATCCACCTGCCTTGGCCTCCCAAAGTGCTGGGATTACAGGCATCAGCCACTGCGCCTGACCTATACCTTGTTTTTTAATATACTGGAGAGGTTGAGAGAATACCATTATTGTAATTCCTTTTTAAATTCCTGCTAAATAACTGAAACTAAGCTCAAAACAAATCTCTCCTTGTTCAATAGACCGTTCATCCGGAAATGTAGATGATCTTCCATTAACTATTTGACCTTGTGGGACCTAGTGAATCCTTTGGGACTTCAGTTTTAGCATTTATTTCTAAGTTGTCTTTTAGCTTTCTGATTCTCTGATTCTCTAAGTGAAGTGAAGTTGGTGAAGTCTGGACATGTCCTATCCATGTATGTCTCTGTATATATCCATATCTTTTATTCTTTTTTTCTCTACCACTCAGAGCATGTTACCTTCATTGTATTTAGTTCTGCTGTAAGCAGAAAGTAACTCTTGTATTCACCACTGCAAGAGATTTGATATCATTCTTCCCAAGAGTTGGAAAATTTTAAAAGAACATGTTTGTAGAGAGGGAAGGATTATGTTAACTTGAGTAACGATACTCATAATCAGATCAAGAAATGGAAGGAGAAATTGTAGGTCCCAAATGGGAGTTGAGGTGTTAATTTCAGTTTTTTATTACAGAGGTGACCACCTATTCACCTTTGCTTAAGGTGTCTTAGCCAAAAGCCACTTTCCCTGTTGGAAACAAAGTCAGTTGAAGCTTCAGAGCATGAATGAATAAAGGTTCAAAGTTTAACCTTTTGGTAGCATGAGGGAAGTACTGTTCAGTTTACTCATATCTCAGCCTCATTTAGGATGTTGTTCATGGTATGTTTTTCTGACCAAATAATAGACTGAGCCTAAGTACCGTAGAATGATATTGCAGTATATCAACTAGATCATTCTCATAGATTAATGAAATGGATTACTCTAGAAGTTGACTACATTTAAAAAGGAATGTCTTATCCTCTGCTTTGTAAATGTAGCTAAATTTGGCATACTTTGCTGAAGTATCTTAGAATTTAGAGAAAGTGTAAAAATGAATATGCCTGGAAGGTTGTTTCCATTCTTTTTTCATGGCATCTCAGTAACATGGGGGGAATTTTATGGCAAGTTAAAAACAGACTTGTCTGAGGGAAATGACTGCTCCTGTTTTTATGCTATTACTATATTTTTTCATTTCCACATTTATTTTGTATTTATTTACAAAATGAGAAAACAGTTCATCTGTGTAGGCGAGAGGGGAATGTTGTCTTAATTTTAATTTGGAAAATTTCAGCTGTACTAAGTATAAATTAATTTTCCATTGTGGCTTAAAAATTTAAGACTCTTGAGATTATTACTTATGAATTCCTGTTATAGTCTACCATATATTTCTGCCACCTCTATTACTAATCCTAAAAGGATACTGTAATACTTATGGTATGTTTTCAGACTGAACCCATTGATTTAATAATATCAAATGTTTAGATGATATCATCCTTTTCATTTCCATTTAGTTTCTGGTTTATATTATTATAGTCAAGACTTAGTGAAAATCGCCGGGTGCTGTGGCATATGCATATAGTCCTAGCTAGTTGAGAGACTGAGGCAGGAGGATTGCTTGAGCCCAGGAGTTCAGGAGTTCAAGTCCAGCCTGGGCAACACAGTGAGATCCCATCTTTATAGAAAAGAATTTAGTGAACACTACTATGGTGTGGACATAAAAGAAGGCAGATTTTAAAAGAAGATTTAAATAACTGGAAAGTGTATATTTTATTTCCGATAATGTCATTTTCAGTTCCATAATTTCCATTGGACCTTTTTTATTTCCATTTCTCAGCTGTCATTTTGTATTTGTTTATTCATTGTGAGCACATTTTCCTTTATGTCCTTAAGCTGCTTACAATAATTGCTTACAGATTTTTGCTACTAAAAAAAATCTGGATTTTTCTCCATTGGTTGTGTTTTCTCTTGAATATGGGTTAGATTTTTCTTGTTTTTTCATATGTTGAATAATTTTGAATTATATTCTGAACAATGATATAGTGTGGAGACTGGATTCTGTTATCTTTGAACGTGTTGTTGATTTGGCCTTTTCTTTTCTCCTTTTTTTTTTCTTTTTTAAGCAAGGAGTTAATTTTGGCTGAATTTTGGTCTCCCCTCCCCTCCCCTCCCCTCTCCTCTTTTCTTTTCTTTCTTTTTTAAGCAAGGGGTTAACTTTGGCTGAATTCAGATTCCAAACTATTGTCTCTTTTGTGGTGGGCAGAAGCTGAAATTTCTTTACTTCTTTTATCCTAGGGTTTCTCAGCCTTGGCACTGTTGATTCTTGGGCTGGATAATTGTGAGAGCTGTCCTGTGCATTGTAGGATTTTCAGCAGCATCCCTGATCTCTCCCTACCTGATGCCAGTCACACCCTCCTCCCTCAGTCGTGACAACCCAAAATGTCTCCAGATAGTGCCAGATTTTCCTTGGGAGGGCAAGTCACCCCTGGTTGAAAACCACTGTTTTAGCCTTCCGAGGGCTGTTGAGAGCCTGCACCATGCACATAGTGTAGGAATTGGCCAGAGATTTGGGCAGAGTTTGTGTCTTTGATTCTCTTCTTTCCAGAATTTCTATTCTCATTTTCAGCAGCTGTGGTCTCTTTAACTCAGTCCTCTGGTTCTTTGCCACTAAGAACCAAGGTCGGGTTTCTGTTAGTTTTAGCTGTTGTGGTTCAGTCTGCCCTATGCTACAAACTGTTTAAAAAGGGGGGTGGAGGGGTAGGTGGACAACTGTGATGAGAATGAGGATGATTGATTCAGTGCCATTTCCTCCTTCTGGTGGTAAACTCTTTCCCCTCCCCCAGGATCTTCCTGCATTTGGTAACTCAGGTTTTTGCAGATTTTAATATCTTCTTCATAATTTATAGTTGTTATTTAAAGGGAGTGTCATGTTGGAGTGGAAGGAACTACTTTGTACTACTGGATGGGGAACCTGATACGTATTTTAGGATGTAAAACTTGACGTTGCATACCATCCTTTGTCAAGGAGGGTACCATCTTTTAAAAAATGTATAGACATAAAAGATCTTTATTATATATTTGGAGTTAACATTTATATAAAACCTTTTCCTGATGCACTTTTAGTGCTCTATACAAATGTTTCTTAACAGCCCTTATGAACTTTTTTTTGCAGAATGAGGTAGGATGATGAGAAATGAGACAGACCAGTAAGAGGAAGGAAGGTCTGGGAGGTGACCAAACAAGGCTGAAAGGCAGATGATAGGATTGTAAGGGGAATGGAGGCGATTGAGGGATGGCTGCCTGTTTGATTCGTAGTGTGCTGTTAGTAAATGGGGTCCTTTCTTTGAAAAGTGTGATCACACTTGGTAAAATTTTCTGACTGTGGCATCTGTGTAGCAACTTGGCAGCAGGGGGAAAGCATTGTAGATTAGAGTTAGATTTCAGAACATTTCTCTTTCGACAAGAATATTCATTTCTGGAAAGATGGTTAAGAATACAGTTTCATATTTTTGCTTTTGGTTGACTTTACACTTTTTTTTCTAACATTTTTTTCCTCATTAGTTTAAGGAAACAATTTAAAATGTTAAGAAAAAGATTACATAAATTCTATTAAGCTTGAAATTACTCACTTAAGCTTGCCTTTTTTGTGATGAATTTTATGGTATTGAATAAGATAGCATAAATAAAGTAGCTAATACAGAACCTAACATCTGGTTATTGTGTAATGGTAGCTGTTTGCTATTAGTAGTGAAACTGGTGGTAGTAATATTTAGAAAAAAATAAGGAGAATTTTTTATGATGTTGGTAATTTCTTGTACTAGAGAAAGCTTGCCAATCAAATATTTGTGAATCAGTTTTTATATACACAATTTGCATTAAATAAGGTAGGTGTTTCTACTATAAATCTTTCTACATAATGGCAATATAAGAAATGTCATATCGTATACTGATTTTACCCCTAAAATAATGACATCAGCTGTTTTCTAATTTTAAAGAAGTAGTCTTACCAAATGTTTGAAATCACCATGATTTTGGTATGAATTTGAAAATATGGTGTTTACTAGCATTGTGGTTCTGTTGCTATCCTTTTATGGAGTCAAAGGAAAAAATTTTGAAAATGCATAATGTATATTATAACAATATGACTATTTGTTGTGGAGTGTTAAATGATGTTATAAAAATAAAGCTTTTAAGTATGGTTCGTAGAAATTATTAGATCTGTCTCTGAGAACCTGTTAAGTGTGGCTTGCATGCTTCATTTAGGATTTTATTAACAGTTGTATAAGATTGAAGTATAATAGCTTGATATTTATGGTTAAAGAATATCATGGGGCGGGCACAGTAGCTCACGCCTGTAATCCTAGCACTTTGGGAGGCCGAGACAGGCAGATCACTTGAGGTCGGGAGTTTGAGACCAGCCTGACCAACATGGAGAAACTCCGTCTCTACTAAAAATACAAAATTAGCTGGGCGTGGTGGTGCAAGTCTGTAATCCCAGCTAGTCAGGAGCTGAGGCAGGAGAATCGCTTGAACCCGGGAGGCGGAGGTTGCAGTGAGCTGAGATCCCACTGTTGCATTCAAGCCTGGGCAACAAGAATGAGACTCTTGTCTCAAAAAAAAAAAAAAAAGAATTATCGTGGAAAACTGCTAAATTAAAATACTACATTTTACGGAAACTGTGGAGCTGCCTCCTTGATAGAATGTTAGGTCTGTTTTTGTTGTCTTCTGCCTATGTCTCTTGACTTGTAGTTTCTTTTGTTTCAAATCACTCTGCCCTCGTATATACTTTGGTTAGACTACTTTTGGTGAAGCACTCTCCAATAGAAGAACATAATGTGGTGTCAATTGTGTAGGGATCGCCCAAGCGTTGTCTAGCATTTCTGCTCCCCAGCAGAAGCCATTTTATCCAGCCAGAGTTGTCCTTCACAGTTCTAGCATAGTCTAAACTCATTTTCTCATTGTTCATATTCTTTCTCTCCCACCCACTCTGTCTTCCCTGGCAATTCAAGTTAAATTCCATCTCTCTTCTTTGAGTTGCTCCCCTGAAGTAAGATTTCTGTTTCTTCTGGCATTTTACCTCTAAATTTATCAATAACATGTTTATTCTGCTGTTCTTAATGTCGTGTGTGTGTGTGTGTGTGTGTGTGTGTGTGTGTGAGTGATTTTAATCTTCTCTTGAATTTAGAAGATGAGAATTTAGTCTTTCTCCTTTCCCCATTCCTACATTACTCCTAAATTGAATCTTTAATATAAAATCATTTATTTTAGTTTCCAGTGTACATCATAATTTTACCTTTTTTTCTACTCAGGATCTATAATTCCCAGCACAAAAGGTTGGATTAAACTGAATAGGACATACTTTTCCTTTGTAAATCTATTTCATATGCTTTAGGATCAAAATGGTAAATGAGGTTTGAAAAGTAATCTAACATAAAACAAAAATTGGGTTATGTCATTAAAATAGAAATAGTCTCTTCACCATTCTTATCTTGATGTTAAAAGATGATCTTTTAAACTATTTTCTAATTGGGTTGAGATCTTTGATTCTTATAATTATTGGTTTTGTATGGTTATTTATCAGTGTTATTCATTATTGAGTGGTTTGTTCAAGTTTGAGCAATTGGGCTGTTTGTGACCCTTATTTTACTATGAGTATTTTTTAATAGAAAGCCTACAGTACTGTTGGACTTTGTGCCCTGTCATGCTGGATTGTGAATTGCAATTCTTGTAGTAGAAATAGCCTCAACACATTTTGAGATCTTAAACGTGCTTCATATATAAAGTAGGAATTTGCACACAGAGGACCCTAGAGGGAACATTGTTAGGCAACATTTCAGGGATAATTATGTACTCTTGAAATTGAGTAGTATTGTTTCTTTAGTGTTAACTGTTATTGAGAATGTAGAAAAATAAACGGACATCGCAGTATATATAATTGAAAACAGTTGGCTAAAAGTATGTCCATGTTAACTGAGATTTTAAAAAAATGACTACATATATAGGAGGTACTTATCACTAAAAGGGAATTGGGCTGTTGGCTGGTAAATTTTGGGATTTGTCTCTGTGATTTAAAACATCAGTTTCAGTGTAGCATGTCATCTCCACACCTTCATTTCTACTTCTTTTTTTTTTTTTTTGGCGACAGGGTCCTGCTCTGTCACCCAGGCTGGAGACTGGTGGCTCACTGCAACCTCCGCCTCTTGGGTTCAAGCAATTGTCCTGCTTCAGCCTCCTGAGTAGCTGGGATTACAGGTGCATGCCACCACGCCCGGCTAATTTTTGTATTTTAGAATTTAAGCTTTATATCAGAAAATAGTTCACCTCTTTCAAATAACTTTTTTCTGCTAATGATTTGTTGTGTTCTTGAATAAATAATATTTCTGGGCTTTAATTTCACGATTGAAATATCACACTCAACTGGAATTCTTCAGTGAAAGAAACAAGACATTATGATCTCTCTTAACAATATGTGAAAATAGAAAAATTGGGATTGTATATACTTTTACGTTTGCAACTTTACCTGCAGCCCTCCATTTACCCCTTCTCTGAGAGCATATACTACTGACTTGAACACGAGTATGCTCAGGTAGTAGAATGAATATGTACTGTCGTGCATTATTCCTTGATCATTTCAAGCATGTTTTGTAGGTTCAAAAAGGTAAGTTACCAAAGGACACTTTAAGAGTGGAAAGGCTCACCCTTTTCCCCATCCCTTAGAAACACGTGGTGCTAAAAATACCCAGTAAAAATTGATGAAATCATTAAGTACATTTCAAACTAGAGGATTCTTCCTTTGAGGAATATTACACTGGTAAGTTTGAACATGGCTCAGTGTTTGAAGTACAATACAAGGTATGCTCTATAGATGATGCAGAACCAAGAGTTCTGTATTTGTGCTTTGACTTGCTATAAAATTCAAGCATTACATGTTTCAGAGCTCTCTTAATTCTTCTGGCTACATCATTGTGTAGTCTTCATTTGAGACATTGGCATCCTGTATATTTGATCTCCTTTGATCTCCTTTAACTAAGGAGGAATGCAGGAGTAACTCCTTTGAACACGTCAGGCATTTTCAGAATCAGTTGAAGGTACTGAGGGACCAAATTGTAACTGAGGCTAGGGTGATGCCAGGTGAAGGGAGGCAGAGGAACAGGGGCCAGTTTTCCTGACCCACATGATAAATGCTCAGAATTCTAAATTTTTAGCCCAAGAATTATGACTTTTTGTACGTGCAGCGTTTTCAGGAAGTGATGAACATATGCATTATTACGAGTTTTCCTGATGGATCTGAATTTGCCAACCAGTAGCCTGCTCCTCTGAAAATAAATGACAGAAGTTTCAGACTTTATTATAACTCCCATTCTTAATTACACTCTTAGTGTGCATAATCAAACTGGTCTACTCACCATATGCTATGTTTCTGCTTCTGTGCTTTTCGTTTCTAAACCCTGAGTAGGGATGATGTCCACTTTGTTGCGCAGGTGTTTTTTTTTTTTTTTTTTTTTTTCCCTCGAGACAGTCTCGCTCTGTCTTCCAGGCTGAAGTGCAGTGACGCGATTTTGACTCACTGCAGCCTCCATGCCGGGTTCAAGTGATCCTCATGCCTCAGCCTCCTGAGTAGCTGGGATTATAGGCATGTACCACCATGCCTAGCTAATTTTTGTATTTTTAGTAGAGACAGTTTCGCCAGATGGCCAGGCTGGTCTCGAACTCCTGGCCTCAAGTGATCTACCCAACTTGGCCTCCCAAAGTGCTGGGATTACAGGTATGAGCCACCACGCCTGGCCTGCACAAGATTAAATGAGATAATAAATGTAAATGACTGAATGAATGACTAGATAAATCTTTGAAAGCCTGTTTCATAAATTTTTCTTGGTTCTCATAGTACCTTATGCAGTTTTCTGAATCAAACCTATCAACTTGTCAAAATTAAATGATCCTAATTTAGGGATAGTAGTGTGTAACATTTTATTATTCCTCTTTCAAATCATTTGATGTTGTTTACATGTATTCAGGTCCTTTGTTCTATAAATCATTCATTAAAAGCAGATGCTGGAACTCCCATAACATTCCCTCCCTTAGATCAAATGTTTTCAGAGGTTTGACTTTGGTCTTATATTCATATGTAGTTGTAAAGAGGCCTGTTGACTATTAGGACCCACTACAAGTGTGGTAGTCCATTTTCAATATTTCACATATAATATGGAGTTCTTTTTTTTTTCTTTTTATAATTTTAAAAATGTGGATTGCTTCATGAATTTGCATGTCATCGTTGTGCAGGGGCCATGTTAATCTTTTCTGTAGGGTTCCAATTTTTGTGTATATGCTTCTGAAGCGAACAAGAGGAAGTTCTAAGTAGTGCTGAGCCAAGTATCTTTAATAGTAAGATGAGAGAGCAACTCTGGGTAATAACGGAGGCAGCCTAGGTGAAAAGCAACCCAGGCAGAAGTGGATCCAGAGTCAGTTATCAGGTGAGGAAAGAAGCAAGTTCCTTACAAACCACCAACACTTCTATATATTTTTTCTCATTTGGATGGACATGATTCAACACATGTAGAGACATATTTACTCATTTGCTTTTTACTTTGCTTGCTCCTCACCTGTTCCTCATAAGTATACCCCCAAAAGTGAAAGTTTTTCCCCTTCTTAGGCACTTGTCACTTCTGTAGCTTGAAATGAAAAGAGTGATCTAGATAAGAATGTTTGACATGAAATAAAGAAAATTAGAAAGAATAAGTGGAAAATTGGGAGTAAAATAAGTTGTTATCTCTATATTTAGTTTACTGGCATAGTCTGTCATTGGAAGTAACTAATTATACAAATATTGCCATTTATTCTTTTGTCCTTAGCCTTCTATTTAATGAAGTACTAAAATGTTTCTTTGGAGGGAATTTAATTCTATATCACTCACTCATTCACTTTTTTAAACTTCATTAATAGCACTTTTAAAAAAAAAATGTATTCATAGATCATCCCAAACATTTAAACAAGTCTATTGTGTATTTTTCTGATTATAAAAGGATTGAATGCATTTATTATTTTTTTGAGACAGGTTCTCATTCTGCTGCCCAGGCTGGAGTGCAGTGGCAGGATCACAGCTCACTGCAGCCGCAACTTTCTGGGCTCAGGTGATCCTTCCACCTCAATCACATTAGTAGCTGGGACTATAGGCATGTGCCACCATGTCTGGCTAATTTTTGTATTTTTTGTAGAGACAGGGTCTCATTATGTTTCCCGGGCTGGTCTCAAACTCAAGTGCCTTGGCCTTCCAAAGTGCTGGGATTACAGATGTGTGCCACTGTGCCCAGCCTGAATATATTTATTAAATGTTAGAAAATGTTGAAAACCACATAGACTTATAAGATAGTTGAATTATATTCTAACATATAGGTATATCCACTATTTTAATACAGGAGTATGTGTAGAATCTTTTTTTATGCTATATGTATTCTTATACATACATTCCTCCAAAGTACTTGGTAGTTAGTGAAATCTTTAAATTTTGGCTTTTAAAAATAGTTATTTCTAGATATACTAGAAAAGGACTTCAGCATCCTAAAGTACAGTTTACAAAAAGACAAAATTAGCATCGTAATGCAAATACGAAACAAATAATTGCCAAACATTTTCATAACTCTTTAATTAGTGAGGGAACAGGTATGATGTTAAAAGCAGTTTAAGGAGCATTAGACTAGTTAGGACTTTATAGGAAATGTATAAAAGAATATAAGGATAAGATTGCTGAGTTAGTTACAAAAGTGGTTAATGTCCTGAGGAGTGCAAGCCATAATAGGGGCTCTCTCTTTGTCAGGACAGAAACTGTTTCTACTATCCACAAATATACAAATTAATGTAAAACCTCACTAAATTTGTGACCTTTAAAGAACAGTGAAATGTGGATTGTGCAAAGTATGTTCCCTTAAATCAGAAGTTCCTGAACTTTATTGTTTTTATAGTGCCCTAGGAATACCTTCGTATTCCTATAGGCCAAAAGAAATACCTAACAGTTCTAGTTACTAAGTACAAATAATAAGTATTTATGTACTGATAACTTAGTAACTGTTTCAACAAATAATGCACATACTGCAGTGAAACAATAAAATTTATTCTTAAATAGCCGCAGTTGCTTGTTAACAGGATGTATATGCCTGGTGAGCACTGCACAACTCAAACCAAAGAATCAGGCTGGAAATCACTACTGTTATTTTCTATCTGCATTGATTTTACTTTGTATCACAGCTACCACGGAAAAAACGTTTCACAAATATTTGACTTCATTGAAGGTAAGGTAGTACAGTCTAATACTGAAACTGTGAACTTGAGCTAGTAGTTTGCATGTTCTCTGACAAATGTTACTTTGATTTCCTAAGAAATTGAGAATGTCCTATAGTACCCTTGTGAATTTGCTGCAGTGTTCTGGGGTGCTTTGGTACATGGTTTGGGAACCTGAGGGCTACATGATCCTCAGATGTGCCTTTCTCTCTATATGGCATTGAAAGGACAAGCTGTCCTCCTTTCACCTTATTTCAAACTTTTGAATAAAATTTCTTAAGTATCTTGGGGAACTTCTAATTGTTATAGTTATTTTTGTCACATTTTTATTTTAAATTGCATGCTGGATGGTGTTAGTCTCACTGATTGTCCAAGTATATTCTCTACTCTGTTTATCCAAACCCTGCCAAGTATATAAAGAAGGTCAGCCCCTTGTGCCCAATTGTTCTTGTTGACTAATTGATCATGCCACTGTGTTGCACTCAAGTTACAATATAGCACAAGGGTGTCCAACCTTTTGGCTTCCCTGGGCCATATTGGAAGAAGAAGAATTGTCTTGGGCCATACATGAAATATACTAGCACTAATGGTAGCTAATGAGCTAAAAAAAAAAAAAAACCTCAAATGTTTTAAGAAAGTTTATGAATTTGTGTTGGGTTGCATTCAAAGCTGTTCTGGGCCACATGCGGCCCATGGTTTACGGGTTGGACAAGCTTGGTATAGCTTATTCCATAACTTTCAGATCTCAGAACACCTGTTAACAAAATTGAGGACCCCAGGATGCTTTTGTTTATGTGGATTCTTATCAATATTTATGATAAAATATTCAAATGGAGGAAATTTGGAAGGCTGAGGCTGGTGAATCGCTTGAGCCCAGGAATTCGAGACCAGCCTAGGCAACATGGTAAAACCCTGTCTCTACAAAAAGAATACCAATATTAGCTGTGGTGGTACACGCTTGTAGTCCCAGCTACTTGAGGAGCTGAGGCAGGAGGATCGCTTGAGCCCACGAGGTCAAGGCTGCAATGAGCGGTGATCACGCCACTGTACTCCAGCCTGGGTGACAGAGACCCTGTCGCAAAAACATAAATAATAATAATAAAATGAATAAAAAGGCTGGGTGCGACAGCTCATGCTCGTAATCTGAGCCCTTTGGGAGGCCAAGGCAGGAGAATCCCTTGAGCCTAGGAGTTCGAGACCAGCCTGAGCAATATAGTGAGACCCCCCCTCCCCCATCTCTGCAAAAGGTTAAAGTTAGCTGGGCATGGTGTTGTGTACCTGTAGTCCCAGCTACTTGGGAGGCTGAGGTGGGAGGACTGCTTGATCCTGGGAGATTGAGGCTGCAGTGAGCTATAATTATACCACTGCCAGTCTGGGTGACAGAGCGAGACCATCTCAAAAAAACCCACCACCACCACCACCACCAAATAAAACTGAGGAAAGTTATGTCTGACTTTTAAAATAGTAATAATAATAAACCCACTGCATGTTAACATAAATGATTATATTTTAACTAAAATGACTATATTTTAAAGCAATGTAGTAAGAATAATGGCACTGTTTTTGCAAATTTCTTTAATATCTGGCTTAAGTGAATACAGCTGTGTTGTAGTCTTTTGACGTCACAATTCCATGTAGCCTCTGGAAAACTCCACTGTACACTTGGAGAAAGAGTGAAAAAGATAAATAATATCTTGATGTCATTCTGAAATAGTTTTGACCTGCTGCCTGCATGGAGTGGAGTTTTATATTCTTTTTAAAATTTTTAGTCTTTTTTAAATTCTTTTTCTTTTGCTCTAGGATACATATCATGAGATTTTATATTCTTAGACAATTTCAAAGTAGATGTGGTTTGTATGCATTTTACTTTTAGGAGGGGCAGGTGAACTTTTATTGTAAAGGACCAGATAATTAGTATTTTTGGCTTTGTAGGGTATATGGGCTCTGGCAAATCTAGTCAGGTCTCACATTGTACTGAGAAAGCAGCCATAGATGATATGTAAGCAAAGAGGCATAGGTTGTTCCAATAAAGCTTTATTTACAAGAAATGGGTGGCAGGATGTAATTTGCCTTGGGGTTATAATTTGCTGAACTCTGGTCTTAAGAGGGATATTAGTGTTCAGAGAAGTTAAGTCATAAGCTGAGAACCACGCATCTACAAAGTCTAGGATCTTGGATTTAAATTCAGGCCTTTCCAGGTTCATAACCACTATTTTTTCAGTTATTTATTCTGCTTTCACTAATAAAGTTAATGTTTATAATTATATGTAGAAATGATTATGTAGAAATTATATGTAGAAATTAAATTATATGTAGAAATGATTATGAATTATAAAGTGTTAAAATAATTTATCTCTTTACAAAATTGCATAGAGACTGGCATTTAGAATTACCCAAGAAATGATTGGATGAATGTTTGAGTCTTTATCATAATAATTCATATGCACAGCAGAGCATTTTAATTGTTTTTCTTCCTTCCTTTTTTTTTTTTTTTTTTTGAGACAGAGTCTTACTCTGTCGCCCAGGCTGGAGTGCAGTGGTGTGATCTCAGCTCAGCAACCTCTGACTCCCGGGTTCAAGCAATTCTTGTGCCTCAGCCTCCCGAGTAGCTGGGATTACAGTTAGGTGCCACCATGCCCGGCTAATGTTTTGTATTTTTAGTAGAGACCATCTTGGCCAGGCTGGTCTTGAGCTGCTGACCGTAAGTGATCTACACGCCTCGGCCTCCCAAAGTGTTGGGATTACAGGCGTGAGCCACAGTGCCCGGCCAATTATTTTATTAATTTACTAAAGTATGTATACCTAAAAAATGTTTTCCTTTCAGTAGATAAGCTCTCTGTCCTATTTAAGTTATTTGGAATTGAAAATACATGTATATGGTACAAAATTTAGCAGCACAAAATGGTATAGGGTGAGAAAGTAAGTCTTCTATATCCACTGCCTGGCCACCCAGTTTTTCTTCTAGTGTTAATCCCTATTACCAGTTCATTTCCATCCTTTCAGAGATTAGTCTGTGCATATGTACACAAATACATATGTATATATTCCCTTTCTTATGCAGATAGTATATCCAGTGGTATACATAACTCTGCCCATTGTTCCATTCCTTTATTTTTACTTAACAGTTATGACATTCAGTCCAAGTATATGCATATATGACTGTCAACTGAATATAAAGAAGATACTTTATATTCACTCTAAATACTTGGTCTACCTTATTTACTAATTTCCTAATATATTTGTTTTGTTATCTATATTCTATGAGTAGCTCTTCTTAACAGTAGTTTTTCACAAAGAAAAATGATCTTGCTTTGGCCATTAGTGGGCGTGAGTAAAATAACTTTCCGAAGTCCTGCCGAGGAACTCAGTATTATTATGAAGATAAGACATAAGCATTTAAAGCCATTAGAGGTAAGACATTGTTATAATTAGTATCTTGATCTGTTAAATAGCTGATAAGAAGTAAAGGTGAAAACAGGTAGATACTGATATGGGCTCTAGTAAAGAAGAGATATTTATGAAGTTAAAGTGGGCTTTGACAAGCCTGTAAGGTTTGGATGCCTTGGGGTGGAATCAAGAGGAGGGAAGCAGCAGTAAGACAGACACATGTCACCGTGGTGTCTCAAGGAAAGACTGCACTGACTGGAGAGGAAAGTGCTTGCTTAGCAGCCGTGGAAGATATGAAGAGGTTGCCCTAAAAATATGACTCCTGAGACCCAGAGAGTAGCAGAGACATTATTTTATGTCCATTTGTGCTCTGCCCTTTGGGCCCAAGATGTATAAAAGATGGTGAATTGCTTTCCCAAATTGGCAGTAATGACTGAAAAATTGGGATTGTTGCTTGTTAGAATTATGTGATTCCAGGGCTACAGATAAACATGGTCTTGATACTTAAAGATTAAAAAAATAGCTTTAAAAAACCCTCAAAAACAAGCCTTCTTTTGAGGGCTTAGTTCAGACTTGTCACAATATTATGGTGATTCATACATAACTTCTCCCAATTGCTCTTGACCCCTTGCTTCTGCAGAATTCATTAATGTGCCCTGGGACTGTTTTTAGTGAGTGCGTTTTGTAGTTTTTGGTTTTTATTTTGTTTTGTTTGTAAGACAAAGCCTTGCTCTGTCACTCAGGCTGGAGTGCAATAGTGTGATGATAGCTCACTGCAGCCTCCAACTCCTGGGCTCAAGCAGTCCTCCTCCCTCAGCCTCCTAAGTAACAGAGACTGCAGGTGTGTGCCACTGTGCCCAGCTAATTTGTGTATTTATTGTAGAGATAGAGTCCTACTATGTTGTCCAGGCCAGTGTTGAATTCCTGGTCTCAAGCAGTCCTCTGTTATCAGCCTCCCAATGTGCTGGGATTACAGGCATGAGCCACCATGCTTGGCCCCCATTAAGTGCCTTTTGTATTATTTTATTGTGTCCCCTGCCAAGGATTTTAGCACTTAAAAAATCTTCTGGCCAGCACTTTGGGAGGCCGAGGCGGGCGGATCACGAGGTCAGGAGATCGAGACCATCCTGGCTAACACGGTGAAACCCCGTCTCTACTAAAAATACAAAAAATTAGCCGGGCGTGGTAGCGGGCGCCTGTAGTCCCAGCTACTCGGGAGGCTGAGGCAGGAGAATGGCGTGAACCCGGGAGGCGGAGCTTGCAGTGAGCCGAGATCGCGCCACTGCACTCCAGCCTGGGCGACAGAGCGAGACTCCGTCTCAAAAAAAAAAAAAAAAAAAAATCTTCTGGCTCCAATGGCTCCTGTTAATTTTTTGAGGCTAGAGTGTATCTCACACAACTGCAATTGAGAAACACCTGAAACCTATTATAGCATACTCTTTATGGTACTATCTGGTGCCACTATAGCTTCTCTGGATGGATTAGATCACTTGGCATCTTCTTCAAACTTTAAGGGAAGGAGCCAGCAGAAAGGAAGTCTATTTCCTGGAGCTTGCAGGTCTAGATGTGTACTCAAAGACAAATTGAAATGGCAGGATCGAAAGCTACAACATGAAGATGTTCAGTAGCACAGCTTCAAGTTGGAAGGAAAAGGAACTATTATTTGTAAGTCAGGACTAGCATTTTTTGAGATACTGTGCTAATAAATGCTTTACATAAATTATGTCCAGTGTTGACTACATACCTGGTGCTTTGTGTTATTTTCTTTGGTTTTACAGCTGAGGAAATGGAGTCCTAGGGAATCATATTACACAGATCTAGAAAGTGCTGAGAACACATTTTAAAGGAGAAGGGCAGGACGTTTATGCAAACTGCTTGTACAGTCTTTATGTCTTGTTATCCCCCACAGTAGCCTTGTGAGATTAAGTGGTAGTAGTAGTGATACTCCTAATTTTAGTTAAAGGAATTGAGATACATGGGGATAAATAACTTGACCAAGGTCACACTGCAAAGGGGCAGCTGCTAGAACAGTCTGATTCCAAGTTGCTTGCACTTAGTCTTGGCAAAGAAATAATAAATACCGTATTTCCCCCCAAAATGAAAAAGGTAAGATATAGTGGTTTAATGTTAAGTGTGAGATATTAAAGAAGAAACAAAAAACAGTGGTCATTCATTTTTTTAGCCTCTGGGTTAGAAAGTTTAATGGCAAACAGTGGAAAAACTATTTGTGGAGACCAGACACTGTAGAGCCTTCTAGGCTTTGAAGAAGATTCCTAATCCTGTTTTTGTTTTAAATGAACCTTGCTTGCGCAATAAAGCTCTAAGCAGGGTATTTAAATACATATTTAGGAAGAGGAAAATGGTTTCCATCCTTACACATTCTCTGAATTTATATGCAGTGGTCTGCATACTTGCCCTAAGGGGCTAAGCTGGATGCTGTTCTGTCAAGGGCACCCTTGTGGTAGTCACATGGTCTGTGCCTTCCTCTAGAGCTGTCAAACTGAAAAGTTTTAGTATAGTCAGGTGTGTCCAATCAATTTGAATCTTAGGGTCAAAAGGATAGAGAACAGGAGTATGGAATAGTGAGGCTTTCTCTCTGCCTCTTGAAGGTTTGCCTGAATATTCAGTGACTGGTGCTTAATAGTAAATCAGAAGATACAATTTGCTTTGGAGGACAGATACATTTCTTTGTAACATTTAGCCAAACTTAGAGTTATGGAAGAAAAAGTGTCATTTTTTCCCCTCCTTTATTCATTTTGTCTATTAGGTGACATAAAAGAAAAAGTATTCTTTTAAAACTTAAAAATTGGGCGTATTTTAAATGTCAAAGAAAACTTTGAGTTTTTTGTTGTTGTTTTGAGGCAGAGTCTCACTCTGTCGCCCAGGCTAGAGTGCAGTGGCAAGATCTTGGCTTACTGCAACCTCTGCTTCCTGGGTTCAAGGAATTCTCCTGCTTCAGCCTCCCAAGTAGCTGGGACTACAAGCTTGCACCACCACCCCCGGCTACTTTTTGTGTTTTTAGTAGAGACGGGGTTTTGCCATGCTGGCCAGGTTGGTGTCGAACTCCTGAGCTCTCCTGATCCACTTGCCTTGGTGTCCCAAAGTGCTGGGATTACAGGCATGAGCCACCATGCCCGGCCAGACTTCAAGTTTTAATGTTTAACAGTATGTTTTATTTAAGGTATGGGATTGGGGAGAAAACTGCAATAGAGAAATACATATTAATAATAAATCGTGAGAAAACGGCTTTGATAACCACATGACCCTGTTAGCAGTCACATAAAGCTGTGAAGAAAAATGCAGTGATACATCTTATTCTTCTCTGATGCAGGATGAATCTTACGTTGAAAAGAGTTAATTTCATGCATTCAGATCCATCATTAGGGAGATCAGTAATTGAATTTGTATTTAGAGAAAGAAGGTATGATCCATCACTCATTTAGGAAACGGAAGATAATATCATCCCTCCTACTAGAGGTGTAATTTATGTGTTTTAGAAGATTTCAAAAATTTAGTTACTGACATATGTTTGGAAAGCATTCTAATAAAATCAGCTCAGGTCAAGGGTTGAACATGTACTTATTTACCTTCCTCAATAATAGATTTTGGGTTTTCACCAAGTTTATCTTTTATCTGTTCTCTCCTTTTCTTTAGCAAATTAAGCATTTCCAGAACTCTGACAGTATTTTTTTACTATCAATTATTTTGATTACAGAGAAATTAATTTCTACACTCTTTTACATTCATTTAGTTCTTGTTCTTCTTTCAGTGTTTGATGAATGCACTGAACGATTGAATGAGAGAATAGTAACCTAAGACCAGTAATATAACATTGAGTCCATTGGGATGGTGGCAACAGTGTAGTTTCATTCTTGTTTTCATAAGAGAGCTAGCATGTTGGAACTCAAATAGACTTCCCAAGCTTACAGAGCTAACTGGAGCCAGACTAGAAAGAAGTCTTTTCTGTCCTTTTCTAGTTCAGTAGAAAGAACTTTCTGCTACGTTGCATTGCCTTCCATGATTTAAGTACTTTTTTTTAAAAATTAGAGTTTAAAAATTAAAAAAAAATACATACCCATGGAAGAATTAGGCAGTGTAAGAGACTGCACGTTGAGAAACAGAAGTCACATTCTTTACCTTCTGTTTCCCCTTTTCACCAGACATATTCACAATGAATGGTCTCTAATATATTCTTTCAGAATATTCTCACATTTTATCCACATACAAGTAATTTTACTTATAATCTACCATAGTATTAAGCAGAATTAAATACTTAAAGTTTTAATTCAAATTCCTAGTATCCGAGTGTGGACTTTCAAATGAATCAATGCTATTTTTTAACAAACGAACCTAATTTGTTTTGTTACTGGAGTTAGAAGGACTTGTGAGGTAAGATTGCCCATCTGTAATAAGTAAGAGGTTGAATGATTTGCATAAAGCACTACAGTATTTAATTCACTAAGTGATTCCAGTGCTTGGATTTCTGTTCTTCCCATGAATCTGTACTGCCTCTCAGTTAATTTTATTGACTTCACAAAAGTGAACTGTGGGCCTGGCACGGTGGCTTAACAAGGAGTTCAAGACCAGCCTGGCCAACATGGTGTGAAACCCTGTCTCTACTAAAAATACAAAAATTAGCCGGGCATCGTGGCATGCACCTGTGATCCCAGCTACTGAGGAGGTTTAGGCAGGAGAATTGCTTGAACCCGGGAGGCGGAGCTTGCAGTGAGCCGAGATTGCGCCACTGCACTCTAGCCTGGGCGGCAGAGCGAGACTCCATCTCAAAAAACAAAAAACAAAAACTGTATTGTAAACAGGCATGTTTCATGTGTTTACTAAAGAAGTCTCTTTAGAAAATTCAGTTTGTGAACTAATACACAGCACATAGCAGGCACGTGAATATTTGGATTGAAATTAGTCTAATTCTTTACCATTGTTCATCAAGAAAACCAGGGGTTTGGACCAGATCATTTTAAAGGACCTTTCCCACAGTAAATGCTTATGACAATCTGAGATTCAAGCTGTTTTATCTTTGGACTCAAAAAGCAATTGTGTTCAGTGGCTGGTCCTGACTGTATTTCCCTACAGACCTGTGTCTACTTGTGTACTGTGTTATTTGGTGAACTGTAGTGCCAGGTTTCCTATTAATCCTTTTCTCCAGTTGCTTGTTGCAGTTAAAAGGAAGTTTTACAAATGCGGGAAGTTGCAAAATAGAGCCAGGATTGTTTAGGCAACATCCAATGTGAATAAAAATCTAATCCCATGCATTTCAAATCAGATGACAACTTCTGTATCCTTCAGTGAGCTAATTTATAAGCCCATAGTACTTACTTATACCAGGGTAGTATGGCTGGAAATAGGGATATGGAGCAGAAAGGGAATTTAAGTAGTGGTGTTTAATGTTGTAATAGTAGTTTGAAGGAGATAGAGCATGCCCATATAAAATAATGTTTACTGGCCCAGACTGGGTGTAATGTAGTATGCTAATCAGTTACGGTGCATATACATATGTAATGTTTCTGGGAACTCCAAGGTTTTATAAAATTCCTCTTAAGTAATGCTTGTTTTGTTTAATCACTAATCACATCATATGATGAAAATATTGTTTGAGGTTTAGCACTGTAGTTGAACATAGTGCATAAAGGGTCTTTAACAAGAGTATCTGCAGAATGGTGGCACATGCCTATAGTCCCAGCTACTC
Organism: Homo sapiens; assembly: GCF_000001405.40. Taxonomy (NCBI): domain Eukaryota; kingdom Metazoa; phylum Chordata; class Mammalia; order Primates; family Hominidae; genus Homo; species Homo sapiens. The sequence goes on along the minus strand of NC_000012.12, from coordinate 116,071,551 downwards.
GAGAGGCTGAGGCAGGAGAATCACTTGAATTCGGTAGGCAGAGGTTGTGGTGAGCTGAGATTGCGCCATTGCACTCCAGCCTGGGCAACAAGAGTGAAACTCTGTCTCAAACAAAACAAAACAAAACAAAAACAACAACAAAAGCAAGTGGAGAAAATTATTTATTATTTTAAAACAATTTTATGTGGAATTAATGTTTCACCTGTTTGAAGCACATTTCTTTCTTGAAACACCTTGACAGTGATTATTTCAGTTCATGAAATTTCATCAGTTTCCAAAATTGAGATAAAGAAGTCATTTATCTTAAAATTTAATGTCTCAAACTACATTGAAATGTAAAGCCGATATTGAACTGCTGTCTTCTCTATATCCTGGTATTTTTCAGTTTTCTTCAATGAACATTTATTACTTTATTCATTAAAGTAATGAACTGTTGTCTTCTCTATATCCTGGTATTTTTCAGTTTTCTTCAATGAACATTTATTACGTTATTCATTAAAAATACTGATATTTTGAAAATAATAGTAAATTTTATTATCTTCTGAATCTTTGTATTAAAGTACACTTGAATATTTTCTTTCAAAAATTAATATCATTAGTTTATAATTGAAATTGAGTGCTAAATATTGATAGGACCAAAATATTAGCTGCCAATTATTTGTAAGATTCACTTAACAATGTTAAGAGAAAATCTAGGCACTCATGCTGGGAAACAGCCATTTTTGAAATAGTATGTTGATGATTTCTTCTAAATTCCTAAAGTGGTAGCATTAATTTGTATCTTTAAAGATTTCTGTGCTATGTAAATGTAATGTAGATGTACTTGTGTACTTTATATGCTGTCTCAATCAAGACCATCTTTAAGGGCCTCTAGGGTGCGGCATGCTTGTATATTATTCTGGGCACTGTGTGGTTTATCATAATTTTCATCACTATGTTAGGTGCTAGGCGAGTGTTTTAGATCCTTAGTGTGGTGCTAAAGAGCCTGAACTTTGAGGCTAGACTGCCTGCATTCGAATCTTGACTTTGCTGCTTTGTACCTTAGAGAAGTAAAAGTTATTTAACCTCTCTGTTTTAGTTCATCTGTAAAAGAGAGAATTTAGGATTATGGAGATGAAATGAGTTAATATTAAAAAGTGCTTAGGAGAGTGCCTTGACCTAGTTCATAAGTATCTGCTGATTAAATACCTCATTTAATCCTCCTAACAACCTTGAGAGATAAATGATAGCATCCCCATTTTACAGATGTTAAAAGTAAAGCTCAGAGAGATTATGTGACTTGCTAAAAGGTCAGATAGCTATTAACATGGATTTGGGATTTAAATTCTGGACTTTCAGCCTCCAAAATGTGTGTTGGGATTACAGTTAGTTGCCTGTCTTATAATAGCTCCTGCCCTTGGACATGACCCCTGGCAGCTACTTTATCTATTTTAGCCCTTAATGAATCATGCCAAGAGTGAGAGATATTTACACTTTGTAAAACTTGAATGTAATTATAACTGCATTTTGGTGGTTTCATTAAAAATTTTTTAAAAATACTCAAAAACCAGCAGTACAAGTTGAGTACTCTTTATCCAAAATGCTTGGGACCAGGAGTGTTTCAAATTTTGGATTTTTTTGGATTTTGAAATACTTGCAAATATATAATGAGGTATCTTGGGAATGTGACCCAGGTCTAAACATTCATTTGCATTTCCTATACATCTTACACATGTAGCCTGAAGGTAGTTTTATACAATATTTTTAGTGATTTTTGTGCATTAAACAGTTTCGACTGTTTTGGTAATGACCCATTACGTGAGGTCAAGTATGGAATTTTTCATTCGTGGTGTCATGTTGGTGCTCAAAAAGTTTTGGATTTTGGACTGTTTTGGATTTGGAGTGCACTACGTGTATTAAAGAGAAAAGCAATGGACTGGTCATGGTAAATATATCAAATACTATATTCACAAAATACTACAAATGAACACATTCATTAGACCTTAATCTGTGCAAGTAATTGATAGCTAAAAAGTCAGTACCAAAGAATACTCAGTTTCAACCAGTCTTTACAAGAAACTTTATAAGAAAAGCATTCATCTGCCTAATACTTAAAAGAAATGCAAAGGAAAGCAAATGGGAAGTACAAATTAGCTTTATTAATGAAGCAAAAATAAATAAAATGAGAAAACCAAGGGTTGGTGATACTTAAAGGTACCCACATACTTACCTACCCATTGTTAATACATGTCAGTAAATCTCATCTTCCTAAACAGTGATATGTGAAGGGAGTTGGCTAGATAGCATCTACTAGGGAAATGGACAAAAGTTAGAATTGTTCTTAATGGGAAGTGAGTTCAGCCGCCAACAAGTCTTGGTTCCACGTATCATCTTTAATAGGGCTGCTCAGGATTCTTTTGGCATTATCTTCCATTTCTATTCCTGTTTCTGGCGTATAGACTGCTTTTATGGTCTGTTGTGGGGGAGAAGATGTCCACATTGAATGAGATAGAGGCTCTGCGTTCCTTGGGGCATGAGTTTTCTCAGACACTTCAAGGGAGGCACTGCCTTTATCATTCTCATGGCACTCGGTAATGACGTTAGTGCTGCATTCTCTTGACTACGCTGACTCTTGGATCCAGTTCATTGCCCAGGTTATAACCAGAGTTCTCAAGTTTTGAACCTTAAATGAGGGACATGCACGCCCCCCCACCCCCCGCATTAAATGTTAAGGGTGATGCCAGTGGTAGTGTATGGTTGTACACAACAAGAACAGACAGGTATTATTACAGGTTAGAATCTTAACAATTTCAGGGAGAGTACAGATTGGAGTCCTTAAAATATAAATTAAAAGTTCAAATTTAAAACACTGACATTCTGAAAAGCACATGTAGAAAGTCAATTCAAGTTAGTAGATGGAATTCAGATTTCTTATTCTGAGAATAGCTGTTGCCAATCCTAGGGCAATAAACAGAGGCAGCAGAGGTCAGAAAACACATGTATAGGCCAGTTATTCTACCATCCTGTTTCCCACAATCTGTGTCAAGATTTTGCCATCCATACTTCAGTTTGTGCCCAATAATCCTTTAGTTGATCATTTTGGAAATCCTAAACAGTGTATCAGGAGTGTTTGTATTTAAGAAGTGGTAGTGTTTGATAAATGATAATTAGCAAAATATAGCTCTACAGATCATATTATCAATAAATTCGTATTTAATTGGCATTTGTTTTAAAAGCTCTTATTAAGAAAACTGTCCTGTTGAAATGAGCCTTGCTGTTGTGGAGATTCTTCTGGCCTGTGTTGTTCACAGTGTGCTTTGTTGTCCCATTAGTATTATCAGCTGTCAGATGCATCTGAGGCTGATTACGGCAGGCACATAGAACTTTCCAGTGCTAGATTCACGAAGAACCCCTGTACCCTGAAGCTTATGTTAGATAAAGAGGCCAGTATGCTTGCTCATTGTTGGTGCGTTTCCTGTATTTACTCACATCTATAAGCAGAAATGGGCTTTGGTCTGAGGGTTCATACTGTATTTGTGTCAGCAATTGTGGTATCTAAAAGTGACTTAAGTGAAGTAGACTGGTTAAGTCAAACCCTTTCACATATCATCTTTCTGTCCAACACTTTGGATAAGCTAGTGTAATTAAACAGATGAAATAAGTTGCCATGAATAATCTCTTTGTTGTCCTTTATTGAGTCTTGTTGTGTTCCAGACATTTGCTGCAAGCTTCGTATATGCGCTTACTCACAGTTCATCCTTATTTTTGTTCTGTGAAGTAAGGATTGTTATGTTCATTTTATAGATGAGAATACGCAAGTGTCTGGTGCTTTTAGTAGTGACTGGCATAGATAGCCATGCCACAAATCCAAGTTGGTCTGACTCTAAAATCTGTGCCTTTCACTCCTACAGCATCATTACTCTAATGAATAACTTTGGGGGGATGCTTTATAAGAAATATTTGTTTCATGCTTTTTTGCTTGTTTTGTCAGGTTTATCACAGATGATGATATCCAATATATAATAAATGTAATAGGGGAGATGAGGCATCTACTTTTCAGTAGCATTTATTGAGATCTAACATCTACCATTTTATTTATTTCATCCTATATTCTGATGGGGGATCTCCAAACTGTTGTGCAAAAGGTCTGTTAAAGTGCAGGGAGAAGAATATTAGAGTCTCTAGGTCTCTTGTTTGTTTCCTTTGAAAATTCCAACTTCATATATGCTTCATAACGTATATAATACATTAGTCAAATACCATACTTCATTGGTTCTAATATGTCTACAGTTGATGTATTTCTTAGATTGAATGAAATACAGAGGTACACATAGAAAATTAGAAAAATAAATATACAAATATTATGGATGTATTTTTTAATAGGAGTGTATAATAAAAATAGTTTTTACATATTTCATATTCTCTGTTTATAATTCTCTATCTTATAGCTTTTTTTCATCTCTTGTTGATTATTTTTGATTGTGTGTCAGTATATTTCCAGTATTGCAGGGTTCACTTTGTCCTCCACAATTATTTCCACTCGCAGAAACATTCATCATTTTCTCATCACCTTCAGTTGTTAAAATCTCTTACTTTGTTGTGGTTGGTTGTACATTTCTTATTTGTAATGCTTTTGTTTGTTAAACTTAATAGAGTCAGTTATTTAAAACTTCATGAAACTAAGCATGAACCTGTCCAACTGTAGAAGATGAAGTAGCAGGAAGTGTTGGAGTGGCTGCATGTGACCGCTTTCGCCCTCTGTTGGTAGCCGGTAGAGTTGATGCGCTTTTGCTCTAGAGTTTTTTTTTTTTTTAATACAATTTTGAAAGTTGAAAATTCACAAGTTAGGGGTCCTCTGTATTTTGTTACAGATAAAAACTCTTATGAGATTCTGTAATTAAATGTAAAGTTCTTACATTGTTTATAATCATAGTGTTACAGGATTCTCATACTTTGGAAAATTTAACAGTATAGAAGTATATATTAGATTGGTGCAAAAGTAATTGCGGTTTTTGACATTGAAAGTAGATAAAATGCTCACACAATACCTTAAAGTAGCACAATAATGAAGTTTGAGTAGTCTTTAGAAGAACATACGATATTTAACAGCATTTTTCAAGCAAGGCTAAAGATGTGAGTCCAGTTTCATTCTCTTAATCCCATGAAAATAAATCCCTCATTCTTGCTGTTTACCTGTACAAGGTGTGATACAAATGAGTTTTCTTTGCATAGAAAGTAAGTCGTTTTCTTCTCTCATAGGCCACATTAAAGAAGTATCACTCTTTATTTTTGTCTTAGCATCCTCATTGAAAAATATTAATGTTCCTCTCAATGAAAACTCTTTACCTTTTTTACTTTTGTGTGTCCAGAGTGCGCATGCTTTTCACTGTAGCTGCTCCTCAGTCTTATTATTTAGAAGGAAATGGAACTCTGTGTGTGCACACGTGTGTGTGTGTATGTATGTGTGTGAGAGAGAGAGAGTCAAAGACAGACTGAATCCGACTTGATAGCTTTTACAAACGCATTTACAGTCTATCACCTTTGTCCTACTTGTGCATTCACACACAGATTCTGCAGTTATGTGCTTGTATAGCTCCTTCTCACACAAGGCAGAGCACTCTACTTAAGCAGAAAAACTGCAACTGATGTACTGTTTTCTTTACTGCATTTGTCCAGTGCTGCAGTAGAGCAACTGTCATTGTTTTGCACAGTTCTGTTTTTCTTCCAAAACTGCCTGTGGCAATTTGTACTCATTCTTTATTACCCAAGGGTTTTGCAAGCAATAAAATAATGTATCTGACTACTTAATGGCCTAATGTGATTCCCTCTTCAGAGAAACAGCAAAGTAGAAGACTTCTTTGACTTTTCCTCTTCGCTGACCATGCAATATTAGGCCTCTTGGGACATGTGTTTTGATGTGCTGCCAGAATGCAGTTAGAGATCTTACTGTATTGCAATCATATTTTCTTCAGAATCTTATAAACTGTTTATAAGTAAAGCTTGGATCTGGTCAGAAGGAATATTAAATGGTCTACATGTAATCTTGCCTTGGAGGGAAATTTATTAATGTGGTATCTCATATTTTACATAATTTCTTCAAATTATCTTCAGATCATATTGTAAAAAATCAATATGACACTATGATGGTGAAAGTGAAGTGGTAAAATACTTTTCTTTATTTTTGCCATCTATTTATTATACTCAGCATATATATGCATATGTGTGTGTATTATTTTTGCTATCCTCCCGGTCCTTATTTAAGAGCATACCATACATGTAAACATTATTTTCAAACACATATACACACACGTACACACTGCATAATGACACTTCAGCCTACTATGGACTCCATATATGACATAGTCCCAAAAGATTATAGTGGAGCATATGTAGAAACCTGATGTATGGCACTTGATATTGGCATTGCAGATCAAGTAAGAGGTATAATTAATATTTAATAATGTTGCTGGGACATTTGATTTTCCCTATAAAATTTTATATAAATAAAAAATATATACCATTTAGGTTTGTCTGGGTACAATCTGTGTTGTTTGTACAGCAATGAAATCACTTAGTGATGCTTTTCTTAGAAGGTACTTCCATTGTTGCTTGACTGTATATACATATAGACACATATATTTATTTTAAAGCGGACTATATGCCACACATTGTGCTAGATGCTGGGGATGTAACAGTGGACAAAATGGATGGGGCCCTTGTCCTCATACCATTTATAGTTGAGTCATGCTCTACAATGTGGAGATTGGGTACATAATGGTGTGACGAGTCTCAGTGCCGTACCAGTGTCAGATGGAAGAGCTGTAAGGAGAAGAAGCTGCCCTTTTGGCAGTATAGTACCGTAGAAGGTTTAGTTGCTTTGTTGTGTGTTTAAGCAGTCTTCCTTGTTTGCCTTCACCAAAGTAGCTCACTGTTAGACTTGCTGAGTATTAATGAGACCCTGGGAACTCCCTTCTCCAGCTGAGACATCAAGTAAGCTGTTGTTAAAGCTTCTTGCTTTCGGTCATACTTTCTTCCCCAGGCATCTGGGGCCCCAGATTCCAAATTTTTTAGGAACAGAGAAACTTAATCAAATTGACCTCTTTTCATAAGAAATAAGTACAGCTGGCCCTCCATATCGGTGGGTTCTGCCTCCAAGGATTCAACCAACCACAGATTGAAAATATTTTTAAAAAGTACGTCTGTACATACTCGGTTGGCTAAGTCTGAGTATGTACAGACTTTTTTCTTGTAATTATTCCCCCAATAATACAGTCTACTATTTACATAGCATCTACATTGTATTCAGTATTGTAAGTAATTTAGAGATGATTTGAAGTATGCAGGGGGATATGTGTAGGTCGTATGCAAATACTAGACTTTTTTTTTTTTTGAGACGGGGTCTTGTTCTGTCACCCAAGTGCAGTGGCACATTCGTGGCTCACTGCAGACTCAACCTCAAGGTTCAAGTGACCCTCCTACCTCAGCCTCCTGAGTAGCTGGGACTACAGGCATGTGCCACCACACCTGGCTAATTTTTTTATTTTTTATTTTTTGTAAAGGTGGGGTTTTGCCACATTGCCCAGGATGGTCTCCAACTCCTAGAGTCAAGCAATCCGGCCACCTCACCATCTCAAAGTGCTGGGATTATAGGCACAAACCATGCGCCCAGCCCAGACCATTTTATATAAGGCACTTAAGCATCTGTGGATTTTGGTATCTGTGTGGGGGCCCTGGAACCAATCCCCCGTAGGTACAGTGGGATGACTCTACCACTGTTTATATTTTTGTATTAGTAATATCACAACAGTACCATAATGATACTAAGTATTAGAAAAATTTTAAAGGTGTGTATTTTGATAAACAGTTTTTTTCCTTGGAGGTAGTGGTGGTTAAAAAAGGCTTTTGCCTGATGAGTCTTAAGGCTTATAATAACCATTTATCTAGGTCAGTGAGAGTCAGTTTTGGAGGTACATAAAACTAGATTATTAATACTCGAAGGAAACAGTGGCTTAGATATCCAAACAATGCTTTTTGATTTGGTTTGTTTGTTTGTTTGAGACAGGGTCTTGTTCTGTTGCCCAGGCTGAAGTGCAGTGGCACGATCACAGCTCACTGTAGCCTGGATCTCCTGGGTTCAAGGAATCCTCCCACCTCAGCCACCCAAGTGGCTGGGACTAGAGGCACAGGCTACTATGCCCAGCTAATTATTTTTATTTTTATTTTTAGTGGAAAGGAGGGCTCCCTGTGTTGCCCAGGCTGGTCTTGAACTCCTGAGTTTAAGGGATCCTCTGCACTGGCCCAAAACAATGCTTAATTTTTTTCCTCCCTCAAGCCAGTTATATATGTATTATCTACTATCAGTACAAAAAAGTGGTCTTCTGGGCTGCCCAGGGGCTAACACAGACCTTGCTCTTATGGATGAGACTGGGCGGGGAAAGAAGACAGAAATGCCCTAAATTGGATATCAAATAGCCAGCTGCTGTGCTAAGGGCCTGGGTGGGCATTGCAGAGTAAGATTGTTTTGGGCTGCGTTGAGCCTCCAAGAATGATCTACAACTTATTTTGAGAAATAAAGTAGACAAAAAGGAGGAAGAGCCAGTATTTTGGAAGAAAGCAGCAAAGACACAAAAGCATCTCCACTTGGGTACAGGACATCTTGTACTTTACAGATTTGATTGGCATAGAGAAAGCAGCTTTCAGCCAGGGTCTGAAGACCTCTGGGACTCCATGTTGTGTGCTGGTCTGTGAGGCCATCTCAGTGAAAAAAGCTTTCACTCCAACCTGGGCCACTTTGGTGTTTTCCCCCTCTGTTTTAAAAATATACTGAGGCCGGGTGAGTTGGTCGGATCACAGGGTCAAGAGATCGAGACCATCCTGGCCAATATGGGGAAACCCTGTCTCTACTAAAAATACAAAAATTAGCTTGGTGTGGTGGCGCATGCCTATAGTGCCAGCTACTCAGGAGGATGAGACAGGAGAATCACTTGAACCCGGGAGGTGGAGGTTGCAGTGAGCCAAGATCGCGCCACTGCACACCAGCCTGGCAACAGAGTGAGTCTCCATCTCAAAAAAAAAAAAAAAAAACACAGAGAGAGAGAGAGAGACACTATTCTATTCATTTCCTATGAAGGTAATATTGTTCAATAGAAAACCAATAGAGGGAGGTTGAGGTGGGCAGATTGCTTGAGCTCAGGTGTTCGAGACAAGCCTGGCCAACATGGTGAAACACTGTCTCTACCAAAAATACAAAATATTAGCTGGTCTTGGTGATTCATGCCTATGGTCCCAGCTACTCTGTAGGTTGAGGTGGAAGGATCACTTGAGCCTGGGAGGTGGAGGTTGCAGTGAGCTGAGATTGCTCCACTGCACTCCAGCCTGGGTGTCAGAGCAAAATCCCATCTCAAAAAAACAAAAAACTGCACTACAGGCATGCACCACCATACCCAGAAAAAAGAAAATCAATAGAAGAGAATTGATTCAAGGTATTAATGTTAGCATGTGACTGTAATAGTTCATAATTTGGATTTCGGATAGAATTTTCCTTCCTTTTTTTTTTTTTTTTTTCGATGTGGAGTCTTGCTCTGTCTCCCAGGCTGGAGTGCAGCGGTGTGATCTCGGCTCACTGCAAGCTCTGCCTCCCGGGTTCACGCCATTCTCCTGCCTCAGCCTCCTGAGTAGCTGGGACTACAGGTGCCCGCCACCATGCCTGGCTAATTTTTTGTATTTTTAAGTAGAGATGTGGTTTCACTGTGTTAGCCAGGATGGTCTCGATCTCCTGACCTCATGATCAGCCTGCCTCGGCCTCCCAAAGTGCTGAGATTACAGGCGTGAGCCACTACGCCTGGCCTTGAATTTTCCTTTCTGATATGTTTTGTAACATGCTTATTTGAACTGTAAAATTTAAAATCTATTCCCAAACTCACATTAGGTAATTTGGGATGCGCATTGATGAAGGGATGATTTCATTCTGATTTGTGGTGGAGACTGTACTTAATTTTAGTAACTATCATGTCCTGAAGGTTATCACTTATTTTATCTTATTTTATGTTTATATATCTATGAGGTAGGCATTATTATCTTACTTTGTAGCATTGAAAACTGAAATACCGAGAAGTTAATTGACTTAAGGCAGCTTATAATAGGTAAGATGTAAACTCAGTTCTGCCTAATTGTATAACCCTCTGACATTGCCTTTCCTAGTGTTGAGAAATTGAGAATTTATTGTATACCTTAAAAATAAAAGATACATATTATTTGTAACTACTCTATATTTAAAAATAAAAATGCATCTGGATTTAAATACAACAATTTTATAATATGGAATTAAAAAAAACAGTTAATGTTTAGCTGTGAAAATAAACGAGTCTCATGACTTAAAAAAGAAAGTTAAATCTTGTCCTCTACCCACCCAGTTGCTTTAAAATAACTTAGAATGTTCTCAGTTAAAGATGAGAAAAGTAATCTATAGTCTTACTAAGTTAGTTTCCTGAGACCTCATATAGAAGCATTTAACTTAATGATCAGCTTGTTTATTGGCATGAGTGGAGTCTCAGAGATGGGAGGAGAAGAAGGCAGGAGATAGAAAATAAAAGAAGACACATATGCCCACATGCCATCATCTTGAGCTTTCAGTTTCTCATTTTAAAGATGATGCCATGTATGTGTCATAACTTCCTTCTCATCTCATTGCTTTCACTTCCATTTATCTTTAGTGAATTAATTTAGCAAAAGTCAAAGCTCCGTAAAGCAAGTATCTCGTGTGTGTGTGTGCTTAAGATAATAGTTGAACCTAAAATTTCCTTCCACAATACAGTCTAACAATTGGCATACATACTGTTGCTCTTAACATCTGAGACCTTAAAATATTTCTCCAATTTTTAATACTGTTTTTAACCCAAAGTAGTACTTTCAGTTAATTGTAATGTGAAAAAAGTGTACAGAATCATTGTCTTTATATTGTCTTTTGCAAATTTTTAGTTTTTTTTTTTTTTTTCCCTTGGAGTCTTGCTCTGTCGCCCAGGCTGGAGAGTTCAGTGGCATGATCTCGGCTCACTACAACCTCCACCTCCTGGGTTCAAGCAATATTCCTGCCTCAGCCTCCCGAGTAGCTGGGACTACAGGCACCCGCCACAGTGCCCGGCTAATTTTTTGTATGTTAATAGAGACGGGGTTTTACCGTGTTGCCCAGGCTGGTCTCAAACTCCTGACCTCAAGTGATCTGCCTGCCTCAGCCTCCCAAAGTGATAGTATTACCGGCGTGAGTTACCACGCCCGGCCTGTTTTTGTGAATTTTTCAAAATTAACTTTTTTTTTTTAATTTGAGGCTTATTAGAAATGTGTCTAATTCGAATAGAGTGGCAACTACTTGAGACAGTTTTAATGATCCAGAGAATGCTCCAGGCCCACAGAATGATGAGAGTGTCCTGGGCAGTGTTTTGTGATCCCTCCAGGAGCAATCTTGCGCTTAGTTTGCATTCCTCTCACAGTGTACACAGTCCAGCAGTGAAACTGCATACTGCACCTCTAGTATTAGAGGGTTTTTTTGCCCTGCAGTGTAGAAAAGACAAAGATTTTCCAAGCGTTTTCTTTAAGGGGTTCTATATCACAGTGATTTGTTTTGTTTCTTGTATATTTCAGTTTGTATTATGTAAAAAGTAATAGTGTATACATCAGATTTAAATAATAATTTAAAGCCTTTTTCTCCGTGCCTCCTTTATGTTTTTTACTCTTAATCCATTTTTCTTTTCCATCATTCTTCAAATATTAATTAAATTTAATAATTTATCTAAAAGCATATGTATTTAAAAATATATTTAAAAGCATAAAATACTTTTACAGTGTAAAAGAATTATGTAGGGTGGGTGTGGTGGCTCACACCTGTAATCCCAACACTTCAGGAGGCTGAGGCAGGCGGATCACCTGAGGTCAGGAGTTCGAGACCAGCCTGGCCAGCCTGGTGAAACCCCGTCTCTATTAAAAACACAAAAATTAGCTGGGCATGGTGGCGGGCGTCTGTAATCCCAGCTACTTGGGAGACTGACTCAGGAGAATTGCTTGAACCCGGGAGGCGGAGGTTGCAGTGAGCCAAGATCACACCCACTGCACTCCTGCCAAGGTGGTAAGAGGGAAACTCCTCACCAAAAAAAAAAAAAAAAGTACGGTATAATTTTTTACTGGAGGGTTATTGACAGTGAAATCAAGCTTGTTTAAGCAGGCCAGGCATGGTGGCTCATGCCTGTAATCTCAAAACTTTGGGAGGCCTAGGCAGGAGGATGGCTTGAGCCCAGGAGTTCAAGACCAGCCTGAGCAACACAATGAGACCCCATCTCTACAAACAATTAGCTGGGTGGGTTGGCACATGCCTGTAGTCCCAACCACTTGGGAGGCTCAGGTGGGAGGATTGCTTGAGTCTGGGAAGTTGAGGCTGCAGTGAGCCATGATCGCGTGACTGCACGCCATCCTGGGTGACAGAGCGAGACCCTGTCTTAACAAAAAAAAGAAAAATGTGTTTAAGCAGACTTGATGTACAGATGTAAACTTTCATTCCATTAAATCTATTACATATCAATGTATAAATGGAAACCTTTTTTTATGTGTTTTTCTTAAGCACAGTATCTTATTGCTTTATTAGTAAAGTGTACATATACTTGTACCATATTTTGACCTCTAATTAACATATTCATATTTTACATATATAGTCGTGAGTCAGTCTGCAAAAAGGCATGAAACACTAATGTTTTAGAATACTACTTGAGTGGGGTTGGAGAATATGATAATGTAATGCTAAATATAGAAGTCCATAAACCACCGTCTACTCTACTATGCTGTTGTTGTTTTACAGTTGGCTAGACTATTTTTAATTCAGCTTTCCCCATTGACTGGTATTCTCTTTCTGGGAACACTTATTAAGATTAGCAACTTATCTCTGCAAGAAAGGTCTCTTATTGCATCTTTTGATGATCTTCAAAAACGTATTGTGGGAGGTCATATAAATGGTTAAGGTCATAGATTTGTTTATTTTCCATTATGGATAAAGATAGAGATTACAAAATGATAGGTTTTATTGCCAGTTTATGCTATAGTGTAAGCTATTTTTTACTTAGGATCTCAACATTTATTTTAATTTATGTATGTATACAGACTCATCAGTACAGTAATTACAAAGGCACCTTCAGAATATATGGGGAAAACAGTATTTTTGAGTTTTTGAAGTTGAATATTGCTTAGGTTGAAATAAACACATGGAAGCATATTGTTTGTGTCCTTCTTTACTACATAAAGTAGGAAATCACATGAGCTTAGAAGGATGTGTGCCTTAAAAGGAATGGCAAACCTTATCCTGATTTTCAGTCTGATGCATTTCATTTAGAACTTTTAAACAGTAAATCATGGTCACTTTTCACTGTAAGTTTGCTAGCAGATTCCTTTTCTTCCTCAGGAAGAAAGTATGTTTGATGTCTTTTGATTGTCTATAGTTGAATCCTTCCAGTAATTTAAAAGATTTAAAGAGTTTTCTGTTATACATCTTGCCAGAAATAAGTAAATGAATTTTTCGTGATTTAATCCTTGACTAAATGATAAAGCTGTCTCAGTACATAACACGTTGGATCCTAAAATTTTAAATGAAATAATGTATTTTGAACCACCTGAATTCTATTTATAAACTAACTAGATAGCTCAATGATTTAAAATAAGACTTTATTTTGTAAGCACCAGAAATAAAAAAAATAGTAATAATCCTAAGTCTCTTTACCAAATTTAGGCATTTTGAATACCAAGTTTTTGAATATCTGAGCACATTTTTTGACCTCTGAGAATCAACTTTAGTAAGTGAAGGAAACCATCAAATTTTGCCAGATGGAAGTAATGGTATGGAAATAGACTTTAGGGCTGTCTATCTCCATGTCTAAACTGTTTCAGAGACCATAATAATGACCATTAGTCTAAGTTTGGGGTAGATTAAGATTATCTAGTAGGCGATGAGTCACAGCATCTCATAAACAAAACATTACGTCTTTATTTATTAGACCATTGCCTAGAAAGTTCTCTCTGGAACCTGAGTGCTGATGACAGAATATTCTGCCATCAGTCAGTCAGAGGGTACCCAACTGTGGATATCATATGGATACTGAACCACCCATAATGCAGCTAATTAGTTCTACCCCTGAAGAAAATAACTAATACGCTAGATAGAGTTTTGCAGTTTGGTTGCTGGAAATTTGGTATTTTCGCTCTGGCTTACTGCTGATCTTTTTGTTATCCTTTTTGTACCTTTTCATGTGGAATGTGCTTCTGCTGTTCCAGGAGGATTATTAATTGCAGTTTCTTTGGGACTCCTGTCTGCCTCACAGGACTTTATTTTATGGGCTTGTGTTCGAGCTACTTGGAATACTCTACTACAATTATTCCTTCAGGTGTTAGCCAACTTCATTTTCTGTTAAATGACTCTACTAGCTTTCTTCAGGGATTCGGCTTCTGATTTAACCTTGTCTGACGCAGTGATACATTTAAATCTTATGAGAGAAAGAGACCATTTTTATTCTTTTACCAGAATGATTTAGGATCTTATGTCAGTTTGGAGAAAATACAATAACCAAGTATGTGTTAAGTAACTGAAGTATATTCTGTATTTTAGTAAATCTTTTGAGGTAGACAAAGAGGTCTGTTAAGTTTTAAGGAAAGAAACAAAGATCACAAACCACAGCAAAATTTATCTTTTATCTCTAGTAATTCATTTCTCTCTAGGATCATTAAGAGCAATTTGAATTAGAGCACAAGATAGTAATTTCTATCCTATAATTGTGCAATCATTTAAGAGTAGATAAAAATTAATTTCTTAAAGAATCTTGGAGAATATTATCTGATGATGATTCTTTATTCACCTGATTACTTCTTGGAGAATTAAGAGAAAACAAGTGAAGGTAGATGGTGAGTTTATCACCAGCAGTAGTTGGAACTAATTCTAGTACTTAATCATGTCTTAACTAAGGTCCTACAAATGTAGACAGCTATTATGAATAAAGAAATTTTATTCATAAATCAGGCCAGGCACAGTGGCTCATGCCTGTAATCCCAGCACTTTTGGGAATTCAGAGCTGGACAGATTGCTTGAGCCCAGGAGTTCAAGATCAGCCTGGGCAACATGACAAAACTCTGTGCCTGAGGTCCCAGCTACATAGGAGGCTGAGAATCACCTGAGCCCAGGAGGTTGAGGCTGCAGTGAGCCGTGATTGTGCCACTGCACTCTAGCCTGACTGAAAGAGTAAGACTTTGTCTCAAAAAAAAAACAAACAAAAAACAAGAAAAGAAACTTCATAAATTATTAGAAAATGCATACATTATTAGGACAAAAATTTTAGTCGTTGTGGTGTACTAAAGCCAGATTGTACACTCTTGCTTGTAATTGCTGTAGTTTGTTGCTTCCTGTATCACTCAGAATGTGGCTAGTGTTGTGGTGAGGGTCCTACCCTAACAAACTTACCTTTGGGCTGCCAGCAGCTTACTAAACCACCCATGAAATCTTGGCTTTTAATCCTCTTCTGCTTATGTACTGTGGTTGTCTGCTCGTGGAGCTTATGGATATCATCCTGGATGTTTAGTGAATCTTATTAAAGTCAGTAACTAAGCTCATTTTGGTGTTGTCATGCATGGCATTTTCTCTTTTTGTTTTTTTTTTTGGAGACGGGGAGTCTCACTGTCGCCCAGGCTGGAGTCCAATGGCACAATCTTGGCTCACTGCAACCTCCGCCTCCTGGGTTCAAGCGATTCTCGTGCCTCCAGCCTCCCCAGTAGCTGGGATTACAGGCACCCGCTATCAAGCCCGGCTAATTTTTGTAGTTTTGTAGAGACAGGGTTTCACTATGTTGGCTAGGCTGGTCTTGAACTCCCGACCTCAGGTGATCCACCCACCTCAGCCTCCCAAAGTGCTGGGATTACAGGTGTGAGCCACTGCACCTGGCCGGTCATGGCATTTTCTAAAGGCCTTCCCAGCTATGAAATGCATTAGTTCTGTAACTCTTCTTGGAAAGGCCGGTTGTGAAACCATTGTTAAAATCTTGGTCTTCATAGGAGGGATTGTGTACCATTTAAAGAACTAACTTCTCTTGTGAATGTGCTTTGACTCCTCTATATCTCTGAAAGTAGGGATCGAAAGTTTACATGTTAATATGCTTTTTCTTCTGAGTTGCACCTATTTTAATTATCCGACTTGCAATGAACTTTCTGAAAACATTCTATTGGAATTATTTTTTAAATCTTTTTATTGAAATATACAATTAAGATGTTTGTACATCATAAGTGTTTAGCTTTATCAACTTTTATAAGGTGTATACATCCTTATTTCTAGCATTCAGATCAAGAAACAATATTACCAACTTCTTAGAAGCACCCCTTATGCCTCTTTTTAGTCATTTCCCCCTCAAAGGGATCACTATTTCAATACCACTGTAGATCAATTTTACAGAGTTTTAAACTTTATTTAGTTAATAGCGTATACTTTATGCTGAGTTTTGTATCTTATTTCTCTCAGTGTTAAATTTCTGAAATCCATTTGTCTTATGTATAGTTGCAGTTTGTTTTTATTTTTATTTAATCCCTTGCATGTTAATATACCACAATTTATGTATTCTGTGGGTTGACATTGATTTATTATTACTTTGGGGCTATTATGAATAATCCTGCTAAGAACATTCTGGCACATATTTTCTATTGGGTATATACCTAGGAGTGGAATATTGAAACACAGAGTAGCAGGCACATGTTCAGCTTTAATAGATACTGCCAAGCAATTTTCCAAACTGGCTGTACCAACTTAGATTCTCACCAGCTGTATATGAAAGTTGTTGTGTGTCCTGTCCGCACTTGGAATTGTCTTTTCTTTTAATCATTCTGGTGCCCTTGAGCTTTTTACTGATGATTGTATCACTTAAATAGGATTTCAGCTGGACAGTAGGAGTCATTACCGTTAAGTATCTAGTTATTAATGTTTACATGAAAGCTATTCTTTTCTGATTATGCTTGAAAGTAAGGCTATTATAGAGTCATGTGCAAAAGAAAAGTACTTAACATGCTTAAGTTGTACTCTTGGAGTTCTAAATAGTAGGTACTCAAAGAAGGTATACAGGTAGAGTGGTGGGAAACTTTGGCAGAGTTCTCACTGATTGTTACATGATTGTTACTCGGTTTTTATTCTGAATATATTTTGGTTTTAATCAAGGTATTACACATATTAAACCAAGAGAAAGACATGATGTGTGGGATATGATATTTTCTGGAGTGGGATTTGGATACCAGAGTATAGAACATGAGAAAATGCAGGAGGAAATGAGGGTAAGACGTACGTGTGTGTGTGTGTGTGTGTTTGTGTGTGTGTGTGTGTGTAATAGTTGTTAAATTACTCTAAGTAGTAGAACTGTTTTTCAAATGAAATCTTTGGCAGAATTCCCTTTGTGTTGACGTGGAGCAGAGCAGTGAGCATGGGGAACTTGCTGGACAATGGGGCATCATTGCATAAGTCTTGGACTTCACGGCTGGCAGACAATTTGTAAGCAGCCTTTCTAATGTAAAGTAGATGTGATGAAACACTGGACTTGTAGGCCAAAGCCGAGGTTTGATTATCAGCTGGACCTTTGCCTCTGTGACCCTGGGGAAGTTACTTTAACTCCTTGAGCTTGTGGTGTCATCTAAAATGGGGATACTAGCATACCTCTAATGAGCTTTATAGAGGTAAAAAGAGCTAAAATGAGCTGATTTAAGGTGAAAGCCTTTTGCTAATGGTTACTGAACTATAACCAGTTTTTATCATGCCATTTCAGTTAAGGTTGTAAAGTTCAGAGCTTTGAGAGTGTAGAATCTTTGATTAGTCAGATCTAAAGTATGACTTTGCCCCTTCCAAGTTATATGACCTTAGGCAAGTGACTTTAGCTCCCTCCCCTTCCTCCCTTCTGCTTCAAAGTAGGGGTAATAATTTAATGCCTACCTTAGAGTTGTTGTGAGAATTAAGGATATATTTAAAACACTTAGAATACTGCCTGGCAAAGTAAACACTCAAATATTAATAACTCTTAGTATTTCCTTTCCTGGATAGCCTTCCTTTCTAAGCATCCAGTCTCATATTATCCGAATCCTAAAAGTCCTTCAGGCCCAACTTTAGTCCTAACTCCTCCACAGTGCCTCTTGATTCTCTCAGCCAGAATAATGTCTTCCTAAATTTTACAGACCTAAGCTTTTCTTCTGGTATTTATGTATACCTTCGATTATACTTATTTATGGTCATATTTTACTTTTTCTTCTAGAAGAGTATAAATTCCTTAAGGATAGGGATTATGTTTTATGTTTTACTCATGTTTTTAACTCCCTAATCACTTGTATCTGTGCAATAATTTAGAAGTCATTGAATAAAAAGGAATTTTTTACTTTTTAATAAGAAACTATAATTAGTGCTGTGGTTTTCTTGCTTTCTTACATAGTGCATGACACATGGAGAAAATGTTTTCCGTAAATCTTTCAGAAAGACAGATATTTGCATAATAAATGGAATAATGGATTATATATTTTATTTTCTAGAAAATGTCTTAGGCTTATTCAGTGCTTTTTAAGACGTTAATGATGATGCTTGCCTTACATGACTTACTATTAATATGTTGCCCATCAGTTTTACTGAAATGCATTTGACTTTCTCATTTAATCAAAATACATTAAACACTCCATAATTAATGTATGGATTATTCTTGTAAATTCTTCCTTGTTAATTTTTCATACCTGGTTAGCATCTTCTAGGCACCCAGCACCCTGTTCCCCTGCTTCCTCTTCCCAGTCTCTGGGTCTGTCTCAGAGACTGAGGATATAAGCAGTTTGTGCTATTAGCCTAAGCAAAGCAAGATTGGGATGGCTAATTTGTCAAAATGGTGTAATGCAAACCAGAATCTTAACACATGATTAGTGATTTTTGTTCTTAACTAACTGACATTTAAGAGTGAATGATGCTTTCCAACTTTTCCCCCACAAAGATCACAATGGATTTAACACCCTTTTAGGATGGCACCAAGACATTTTTCTCAATGGGTTATGAAGAATTAATTTCTACAGTATAGTTCAGTAAAATATTAGAGCAATTTTCTCATTAGTTAATGCTTTTAGGTTCTATCTCCTGCAGAACCAAATAAATTCCTAAAGGCAAAATTGAGATTTTGACCTAGCGAGAGACCCACTTCTTGTAATACAGGACTCAGCAACACTCCCTCACATCCTTTGTATTTTCTAATGACTTTAATCATCCCTTTAGTCTGACCTTTCTGTTTCTCTATCCTGTGTGTAAGGTCATGTCTTTGAGCTAACAAAACATGGGTCACTCCTGGCTTTGAATTCGAATCCTTGCCTCTGAATGACACCTTTGCATTATCCAAGTCATTTAACACTACGAAACTGTTTTTGTGTTTCTTAGCTGTATAGAATGTTCTTATATAGTTTTATGTGTGTGTGTGTGTGTGTGTGTGTATGTGTGTAGGTAAGTACATAATAAACATTAAATTTCAAAAACAAAACTGGTCGGCTACCACTGCTGCTGTTAGAAATGAAGGGCAAGCTAGAATTTGATTGTGGCTTTTTGGCAAGTGTTTTCTTAACATCTCTTTAAATGCTGGAAATTTGGCTATGTTTCATCTTATTCCTTGCATTCATATCAGTCAGCTTGGCTCCTCAGTGGCTATCTCTGTTCAGTCCAAAATCTGAAATACTCCAAAGTTGTAACTTTTTGAGTGCCCACATGATGTCATAAGTGGAAAATTCCATGCTTGACTTCATGAGATGGGTCACAGTCAAAACTTTGTTTCACAGACAAAATTATTTAACATATTGTGCAAAATTACCTTCAGGATTTGTGTGCTTAAGGTATTATATGTAATATAAATGTACCTAAATGAATTTCATATTCAGACTTGGGTCTCATTCCCAATATATCTTATTATGTGTATGCAGATATTCCAAAATCGAAAGAAGTTTGAAATCCGATATTCTTCTGGTTCCAAGCATTTTGAATAAAGGATATTCAGCCTGTACTTGGTTGCCATTTATCATTGCTGTTTGCATATGATCTGTAGCCAACATTTACTCCTCAGAGTTTATGTCTAGGCTAATTAGAATTTTTAAATTATGATTTAAAAGGAAACTGCACAGGCTATTTACTCCCTTTATGGAGAGAATAAAACTGTATTTCTAGTTTAAAAATTATTGAAGTTAAATATTAATTCATTTCTATTGTTATCAATATTTTTGAGACAGAGTCTCGCTCTGTCATCCAGGCTGGAGTGCAGTGGTGGGATCTCGGTGTGAGCCACCATGCCTGGCCTGTTCATTTCTATTATTTTTATCTTTGAAAAATGTTTTATTAAAATGCTATATAATATTCTTTAACATTTTAATGCTGTGGAAATTGCTTATGATGTATGATAATCTATAAACAACCCATTTCCTTAGGATTTGACTTGTAAAATTTGGGCTTCCTAATTTAGGTATTTTTCCGTATTATGCATACAGTTTTGTACAATATACATTTAAAGATATGTTGTTAAATATTTGAAAAATGAGCACTTATATTTGAAGAATGTAAATTTCTGGGTTTTTTTTTTTGTTGTTGTTTTTCTTGAGATGGAGTCTCACTCTGTTGCCCAGGCTGGCGTGCATGATCTCGGCTCACTGCAAGCTCCATCTCCCAGGTTCAAGCAATTCTCCTACCTCAGCCTCCTGAACAGCTGGGATTACTGGCATGTGCCACCACGCCTGGCTGATTTTTTTGTATTTTTAGTAGAGACGGGGTTTCACCATGTTGGCTAGTCTGGTTGCGAACTCTTGATCTCATGTGATCCACCCTCCTTGGCCTCCCAAAGTGCTGGGATTACAAGCATGAGCCACCGTGCCCGGCCAATGGATGTAAATTTCCTTATACACTTAAATTAGAGACTCTTGATACTTATACGTAGAGCTTGTGTAACCATTTAATTAAAAAAAAAGAATTACCATCTTCTAAGTAGGGTGTACTTTTAATTCAGGGGGAGAAGTCTTTAGTTAATTTTACAACTTTTCTATTAGCCGAACTTGGCTTCCTGCCACTGGTTATTAGAGTGTCTCAGTGGTGTTCATTTTTAGTTTCACATTCAGTAGATACATTTTATTTCTAGAGTTTTAGTATTGATGATACCTGTTCCATGTGTACACAGAAAAATGATATTGCTGCAGACATGTCCAGTAAAGTTTTGGTGAAATTATCATTTCAATTTTAAGATTTTGTGTGCCCGCTCACATATTTTCTAAATGTATATACTTGTCCTGATCTGCCAGGTTACCATTATTGGGAAAGCTGTGCTATATTTTGTTCCACTAAAGAGTTAATTCAACTCTTAGAGTCATAATTTTAACTTCCATGGAGTCGCACCCTAGAACAATCTAGTTATAAATTATGGTTTTGGGCTTTAACAGAACATTTTAACAGGCCAGTGTAATGAAAAATCCTTGTGTTATTGGGTTGTTAAATTGAGGCTTAACACAATATTTGATCCTTCCAAGAACTTTCCATTTATTTTGACTACATTCAAAGGAATAGATCTTACATTGCAACGTAGTACATACGTGTTTTTGTATCTCTCATTTCTTAAAATAAGTCTGAAATTTTATTTACATTTTCAATTCTATTCTATTTAAGAAATATTGGTTGAAATCTATTAAATTGATTTTATGATTCCTGCCATTTGAAAAACTCTTAGAATTGTAGTCCTCAGATGTTTTTATAATTAGTGTTTACATTTTCTTCCACTGTGTGGTATATGAGGCTAAGTGTTCAGTTTGTCCACCTTCCTAAATTGTTTGAATATTTTGGGCAAGATAAAATGTCCATGCATGTTATATTTTTAGGCTCAATACCAATAATGTTAGAACTGTCTGGTTTGAATGTTTGTAAATCCTTAACGAAAAGCATTTCTTCAGAAGTGTAAATTCGAGGTTGTGCCAGTGATTATGTCCATACTTCGTCTATTTTTTCCTAACTGCAAATGATTCATCTATCATTTTTTTCTTTTGCCATGCCAAAATTTTAAGTGCTTCATCTGGAAAAAGGGCTGGTTATAAAAGGTGAAAGAAGTGTACTCAGTATTAAAAAAATTATGTGATACATTTAAGAAGATCCATGCTTATTTGTTGTGGGGGTGTTTTGGCTAATAAAAATCTGTAACATTGTTTTTATTTAAGTCATTTTAATTTCAAGCCTTTTGGCCTTGGGAAATATGTTCATCCATAATGGTTTATGAGCAGTTATCTCCACCTATGCTTTAATAAGCCTGACTTCAAAACTGAGCCTCTTCCAAAAGAGACAGTCACTAATGCCTAAAAATAAAGGTGATTTCAGTTGTGTCTTTGTTTTCATCTGGAACAGAATGCCACTGAAAATAGTAACATTCTGTACATGAGATCATGTTAATACTGTAACCTGTTCCTGTCAGCATATGTCTAGTAGAAAGGGCTGGTCTTTGTATGAAAATCAGAGACTTTTGTTTGCTAGGAAGGCAGAAGAAGCTGGTCATTTTCACTCTGCTAAAAGTGCAAATGTCTTATTGTAGCATACTTCCTTTGTAGTCATGATTATGCAGGATCTGATATTGAGACATTAGCTGTTTCCTTGGGAACAAGGTTTAAGTAGAGACAGCACAAGAATATTAGAATATCATTGTCTCTCCTTAAAGTAATATTAAAAACACTGATTTTAAAAATGGAAATCAATAACGGTAATGGCTGTCTGTAACTTAGGCACTGCCTCATTTTCCAATTGAAAGGTATAAGAGAAAGTAGCAAGTAAAATATTGATAACTTCTTAGTCAATTTTTCTGCCCTTAACCCTGAACTCCAAAGAGTTTTTCTGCATATTAAAAAAAAAACAAAATTTCATTCTGATTCATAGATAAGTTTATTTCTTAAGCATTATCAGCTGAAGAAGGTGCCCATATGGTATCACAAGGTATACTTCTTGGTTTGCCTAGTTGTAAAATGTATTCTTTGGTTTCTTTTCAACTTTTACTGTCACATTCTAAGTTTCTATCACTTCATTCTGAGCTATTGCACTAGCCTAATGTTTTGACTCCCCTCTCCTTGCCCTGTATCTTACCACTCCTGCCATTACCCTGGCTCTTCCTTGATGTATGATGTGCAGGTTTACAGGCTCTGATAGGTGCAGTCTCTTTTTTCCACAGTTTTAAGTTCTGATTATCCCCTCTTCCTATCCCAGTTCAGCCCACTGTAATATACAGTGTCTTCTGAAGCACTGCCCCAGTGACTCTGATTCCTTTTTCAGTTCCTAGAGTGGGGACTATTACCTAATTCATTCTCCTTTGTGACTAGTGATAGGCACGGATTTATTTATTCTTTTTCAAATTTTAGTTCCCAGGTTGTTCAGAGAGTAGTAAATGGGTTTTTAGAAGTAACAATTAAAAGTAAAGTTGCTGGGCATGGTGTAGTTCGACACACAAGCTTTTCAACTTGTCTCAAAAAAAAAAAAAGTAACATATATCTTTGATCTTTGCAGGTATAACTCATAACTGATTTTTCCCAACACTACATGAAAACTAGCCTGAATAAAAACACATTCAGTAAATGTTTTATGGTCAAGCTTCCCTTACTCTTTTTCTTAACTCCATCTATCCTTTCCATACTATTGAAAGAGAAAACAAGAGGGAAGGCTGTACTGGAAACCTACCTCAGCTTCTAAATGCCTCAGATGAAATATACAGGTTATGTGGCAGTAGAACATGGGCAAAACTTCTTGTAGTGAGTGAGGACTGGGATTTGGTCAGGAGGATTTTGCTTGAGGGTGAAGAGGGATGGGACAGAAACCGTTAGTTAAACACCTTAGATCTGTCAGAAGACCCTGGAGGATTTACTTGGGGCTTGTTTCCTGACACCGTTATCATCAGCCTCTATTTTTATTTCCTGGTTATCTTAATCTATTTTCTTTAATTTTCTGTTTCTAATTACTAACATTATTTTAGCTGAAATTTTATTGACTATCAAGAACATGTCACTTGGAATCATGTAGCTGATGTATGCATATTGGATAAAGAAAACCCACTTATAAATTAAATGAAAGAAATGGTGTTTCTTGCTCTCAACAAAGTTCTTCAATAAATCTGTACAACAGCTAGCTTGATGTTTTTGTCTTTATTTCTTGTTTATTTATGTTTTTGAAGACAGGCTCTTTCTCTGTCACCCAG
Organism: Homo sapiens; assembly: GCF_000001405.40. Taxonomy (NCBI): domain Eukaryota; kingdom Metazoa; phylum Chordata; class Mammalia; order Primates; family Hominidae; genus Homo; species Homo sapiens. Next base: position 116,047,324 of record NC_000012.12, on the reverse strand, counting down.
GCTGGGGTCCAGTGGCAGTCGTGGCTCACTGTTGCCTTGACCTTTTGGATTCAAGCGATGCTCTCACCTCAGCCTCCCAAGTAGCTAGGGTTACTAGCATGCGCTACCAGGCCTGGCCAATTTTTTATTTTTCTTTTTGTAGAGATAGGGTCTTGCTCTTTTGCTCAGTCTGGTCTCAAATGCCTGGCCTCAAGCAATCTCCCCGCTTTGGTGTCCCAAAGTGCTGGGATTACAGGCATGAGCCTCTGCGCCTGGCCATCTTTTATATTCCTGTGAGATGCCTAACTTGGGTGAAGAGCCTACTTGGCTATCAAGTAAATGAAGACATTTTCTTTCTTTCTTTTCTTTTTTTGAGAGGGAGTCTCACTCTGTCGCCCAGGCTGGAGTGCATTGGTGCGATCTCAGCTCACTGCAAGCTCTGCCTCCCAGGTTCATGCCATTCTCCTGCCTCAGCCTCCCAAGTAGCTGGGACTACAGGCACCCACCACCATGCCCGACTAATTTTTTGTATTTTTAGTAGAGACGGGGTTTCACTGTGTTAGCCAGGGTGGTCTCAATCTCCTGACCTCGTGATCCGTCTGTCTCGTCCTCCCAAAGTGCAGAGATTACAGGCGTGAGCCACCGCACCCGGCCTTTTCTTTCTTTTAAAAAACACTTTTAGTTACTCGTACACAGATAGAAGTGAGAATGAAATATTACACTGATTTTGCCTGCTACTAAAATTGCACTGCAAGAAATTTCCCTTACAAATTGAAGCAAATATCTTTATTTAATTATATTTTTATGTTTTACTGCTATATTGTTAAAATGTTCTCATATATGTGAAGTTGGGGTTGTGCTGAGTAACGAAGGTAACAAAAGACAAAGCCATTAAATATCCAACATTTCTTTTAAATGGCCATTTCTCCTATTATTTTGGGATGTGAAATTATTTACATCCATTTGGCTTTAGATTTTGTATCAGAGCATTAACTTTTTCTTTTGTGATTTTTTTTTCAATGTTTCAATGGATGGGTGTCTTCATATTATTTATCTTGACAAACATCTTTGTGTTTTTGTTTTTTACACTGACTATTCAAAATTAGCTGATTCAGCTTTTGAAAATAAAAAACTCAGCACTTGTCAAACAGAACTCCAGTTTCACAAATATCAGAACATTCTTTTTTGTGTGTGTGAGTGACTATAAACCAGCCTACCATATTTTGACTTAGACATGGTATGTTAAAGAGTAGTTAGAGAATGATAAGACTGCATTTTAATATTGGCTTTATAAATAAAATGCTAAGCCTGCTTTTTCTTTTTTAAGCATGTCTTTCTCCAGAGTTGATTTTATATATTGACTTAGAAATGTCACTTCATGCATGTAATTTTTATTGATTACCTACTACTTTATTAGGTAGTTGGTAATAAAAGAAATACTTTATTATAGAAATATATATATATTTATCTACCTAAAATATGTCTTGTTATTGGTGATTTTGAAAGGCTGGTTAAACATTTTTTGTGACTTAATAATTTTTATTGCATTAATATTTTTCTTTTCCCATTTTACTTGTAACCTGTCTAAAGATGGCTGCTGATACAATAGCAACTCTGAACTGGATCCCGTTTGGTAATCCTAATGTTTATGATGTTATTTACTTGAAAATTTGTTATGTTAATGTTGGTCAAATTATGTTAAATATGAGGTTTATAGCAGAGCATTTTTCACCACATATATACTATTACCAGATACGCTGTGACTCATATTTTATGTCATACCATAGTTTTCAGTACAGACTGTCCATAGATTAAATAATTAGTTACAAGTCCACAGGGGCTAGTAAAGGAAGAGCTCCTACCAAATCAGAGGCAGTTAAGAAGCACCAAAGACCCCCATCTAGAAGCCGAGTACAGCCTCTGCTAGCAAGAGGATGGGAGGGAATTTTTCAGAGCAGCTCAGACAGGAGCTGAGCATGAGAGAAGGGCAGTTTGTGGATGTGCTGAGGCTTTCATTTGTTGTCTCAGCCAGGGGGACTCAGTACTATGTAGGCCCAGGATTGGGATGACCAGATTAAAAGCAGAGAAGAGAAAGGAAAGGAACACCAGTGTTCAAAAGGATTTTAGGCATTTTATTATCGTTTTGAACATTATTCTATACTGAATCCAGAAAGAACATGTAATATTTTCCATCTTTGGATTTACTGCCTGAGAAAGTCACTAAAATATAACGGTGCATTTTACCCAAACAAATAAATAGAGAAGGAGGGGCCCCCTCTTTTCCTTGCATTTAACTCCTTGGATTTATGTGTGTTTTGTAGTTATCTGTAGGGTCTCTTACTATACCCTTTTTTGCATATACAGTTTGCATACCATTTGACAGACATAACTAGACAGAGGAGTATGAATGGATCCACCCAAATTTACCAAGCCACCATGAAAATGACACAAGACTCATCCTGTTGACAGTAGCTTGTTAGCTGATACAACTTCATATTCTAGGGATGAGATGATTTTTGATGATGAGCTTTGGTTCACTTGTTTAATCTTGATTAGTGGTGTTCTGTTCTATTCTGAGGCTTAAAAAAGAAACAGAAGACTTGGGTTCTTTCCAGATGTTTCTTTGATGTGACTTTTCCGGGGATTAGTGAGGATGACAATATTTTTCTACCTGATGATTATTTGCGGGTCATAGTTGTCTACCAGATTCTCAAATGTTGTCTCAGCTCACATGCTCAGAGAAATATTCCTTCAGTGAGATAATCTAGCCAGGCTTTTGAATCTGTCTTTAGATGCTGTTGTGTGTTCTTAGGAGTTAGGATTTCCACCTATAGTATGGCCTCTTTTTTCACTCTTCTTCCCACTAGTATCACAGAGCTGGTCTTAAACTTTGACCATTTGATTTCTCTGTGTTGGTGTGAAGTGAACACAGAGCTAACATTCACTTGCGCTTTCTTTCGTGTGGAGTTGTTTGAACTGGCAGAGCTCCTGAGTCAGCAATACATTCGGGTTATGCCAAGATACAGACTTCACTTTTCTCAGTGCTGAATCTACATAGAAACTTAATTGGTTAATTTTTTTGAAAACACTTACTTATGGAACATTTGAAAAGTGCTTAAGTTGGCTTTGAAATTTCTGAAACTAAATCCTGCATTTGTAATCCATGGGGTGGGCACTAGAATACCAAGTTGATTTATTCTTGTGATTAAGATCCAGGAACAAAAAAGAGGACCTCCTTCTCTTGCTGTTGGTTAAAATAGAGCTAGCATATAGTACAATGGCGTTATTCTTGGTCACATGAACTCTTAATGCTTTCTTGACACATTTGTTTAGAGAAAATATTCTTAAAACATGGACATCTGCTTTATATGCAGTGGTAAGAATCTTTAGACTACACATGAATATTACATTGAATTAACCCTATTAATTAGGCTTCTGAGTTGTTCTAGGAAAAGGACTCAGCTTTGTGGCAAAGTGCCAAACATATGCCAGTTTGAATAAAATACATGCCTTTCTATTACTTTTCCCCTTCCCCACTGTTTGAGCATCATCAAGTCATTTGCTTTAGGTTGGGATGGAGAAGAATCTGCCAGTGCGTAGGGGTATGGATTGAGCTGAGTGGCTTTATTCCTGGATATCTATTTATACATAGTCAAGATAAATAGATACATGCATGCACACATACTATGAAAAGCCAGATGAAGAGTATACTCTTGGTTCCCAGTTTAACTTGCCTGCTTTTATTAAGAAAAATGTGACACATGTACTGATTATCCTAACATGTTTTAGAGCATGTTTTACTTTTTGTATTAGATTTCTCTGATAATGCATTTCTTTTTCTGTTACTAAACATGATTAATGTACCACATAGTGTTAACTGTGCTCTTTCCCCCAAAGACATCAAATGGGAGGCAGCATGTAGAAGCTAAATTATTCGGAGAGGAGTCAGTGATTGATTTAAATATAAAAGGATTAATTGGTCCCTGAACCAGACTATTAAACTGTACTGTGATCTTGACTGAAAGTGGAAGAATTACAAGTGCATTGCATAGAATAAATTAATACATTTTTCGTGGCTTTAATCCTTTTTTTTCTGTATTGCTTATTGTGGTTTTATGTACTGTACTCTATTGTATGCATAATTGATGCAGAAGGGATTCAGAGTATCATGATTAAATGGGAGAGGGGGATAGAACCATTCCTGAGGTTTAAGGTGGTACAGTTCTTCTTCCAGGATAGCTGAATGTATCTCCACAGAATGAATATTTCTTGGAATTCTTACCAGTGATGACCCCAGGCACAGAAAGAAGTTAAATGTTACTGAATAAAAAAATTAAAAGTTTACGTTCTGTGAGGGCTTTGTTTAACATGAACATCGGCTAACAGTGGGTAAATATAGCCCTTTATCCTTGAAAGAATTGAACTGAGACTTCAGCTCTTGAGGGTAAACAGTGTAATGGCACCATACCCAGATAAAATTTCCTTCTTTTTATAATTATTTCTATTCAAACAATACTGATTTTTCTCATTCCACCTCATAGGCTAATACTTCAGTCAGACAGGATGCTGGGTTTTTTTTTACGCTATCAGCCTCATCTGTCCTTTCCAGGGAGAAGAAATGTGTGTTTATTCACCTCTGTTATATTGCTGCTTTTATAAACAAAATGTAAATCATGTAAGTTCTGCTTTCAAATAGTACTCCTGGTAATAAAAAAGCAGAAAAGTTTGATTCAGGGGGCTGATTTAAGAATTCATGTATATGTGGCTTTACTAGTAATATAAATTTCAAGTTTTAGAATGGTATCTTCAAGATATTTCTCTCTACCTTGTCTCACCACATCTCATCTTTCCCTTATAATTTGATGTGCCTTGCCTTCCATTATTCTATCTGCTTCTGAGTAATCAGCCTGTATGGGATATTTTAAAACAGGCACAGCTTATCTGAGAATCAAGATACAGAATCATCAGAATCATAGGACTGAAGGTGCCATTAAAGGCATCCTGCCCCTCATCCCTTCCAACACTCAAGTTTCCTTCATTACACTTTCAGGGATAGCCAAGATGGTACCTTTCTTGTAAGCCTGTTTATTCTTTAAATAACCCAGTTAGAAAGCTAGTCTTTATATTGAGTTGAAGTCTATTTTCTGCAGTGTCTTCATCAGTGGTACTTGGCTGGTGTGCCTGAGCCCTCTGGTATACTATGAAGTATTGACCAGTCTGTTGCCACATTTTGATCAATTTTTAAAATTTATATTTACCACTATTGGAGGAGGGCAATTACTATTCTAACAATAGTTTTAAAATACAGTGCTGAGTAAAATAGGTTTCATGGCATGGTGTACTTGAGTATAACCTGTGCACTGAAAAATTGTTTTTATCTCTCTCCTGAGTTGTCTCCTCTTGGCTAAATTTCTCCATTTCTTTCATTTGTCATGTTGGGTGGCTTTAAGTTCTTTTGGTCACTCTCCTTTGAATATGGTTTGTTTGTTTGTTTGTTTGTCTGTCTGTTTTGAGACAGAGTCTCGCTCTGTCGCCCAGGTCGGAGTGCAGTGGCACGATCTTGGCTCACTGCAATCTCCGGCTCTCGGGTTCAGGCGATTCTCCTGCCTCAGGCTCCTGAGTAGCTGGGACTACAGGTTCTTGCCACCACACCCAGCTAATTTTTGGTAGAGACGGGGTTTCACCGTGTTAGCCAGGATGGTCTTGATCTCCTGACCTTATGATCCACCCGCCTTGGCCTCCCAAAGTGCTGGGATTGCAGGCATGAGCCACCGCGCCCAGCCTTGCATATGTTTTACTTTATACAAAATTCTTTTCAACTATGGTATTCAGAATTAAACAGAACATTCCAGGCATGGTCCAGTTAGCACAGAGCTGTAGTAGAACAGATCTCTTCGGGCCTGTATTAGTCCATTTTCGCACTGCTATAAAGAACTACCTGAGACTTGGTAATTTATAAAGAAAATAGGTTTAATTGACTCATGGTTCAGCATGACAGAGGAGTCCTCAGGAGACTTACAATCGTGGTAGAAGGCAAAGGGGAAGCAAGGCACATCTTTCCACTGCAAAGCAGGGGAGAGACACACACATACTCATCAAACAGCCAGATCTCCTGAGAAGTAACTCTGTCATGAGAACAGCAAGAGGTATGTCCATCCCCAAGGTCCAGTCACCTTCTACCTGGCCCCTCCCTCAACACATGAGGATTACAATTCGAGATGAGATTTGGGTGGGGACACAGAGCTAAACCATACCTGTTCCCTTGTTTTTAATTACTGATTTTAGCATTTTCTGCCCCAGCCTGTCTGATGTATGGAGCACGTGTTCATTAGTAACACTGGCTCCCTACACCTATAGTTTTTAGGGGAAATGGGCTTGAGAAGCACTTTCCCATGGGGTTCTCATTACTATCCCTCCCGTACTAATTCTGTAGATTGTCTACATCTAGGTCAATTGATGCATCATACAAGTACTTTTGCTTGATTTGCCAATCACATGTAGTTGCCTCCTGTTATCAGTTAAAATCCCCTTTCATTTTTTTTTTTTTTTTGAGGACTCCTAAACATATACAAGCTATAGTGGAATTTTAAGCCAACTCTATATGCTGTATACTATTCCACTGTGTGACTATATCCTAATTTATTTATCCATTGTAGAATGGATTGATGGGAGTTTGAGTAGTTTCCAGTTCTGATACGAGTTTAAAAATCAGGAAATAAGTCCGTCTGAGTCATTCAGTGGGAAAGTGGTAGATCTGATGGAATCTTTTATTTTTTGAGTAAATGACCTGGCTGATCCAAAGAAAGGCAATGACTACTGAATTCCACTTTCATTAGCATTATGAAAGGAGAACCTTAAAGTGGAAATCTCTGAATTTCATGTAAAATAGATTGTGTGATTATTTCATTTATTGTTAGTTACTATTCAGGTTGTGATATTAATCAGATTTTGTAGTTGTGATTACTAATTAGGAAATCCTGTATTCAAATGATAATTTGATTCAAATAGTATCTTATAACTTCATTATTTGTTTTCAGTGAATTTTCTTACTAAGTGAATTCTAACTTTTTAAAAGGAGAAAATATGAATGGATTAGTTTGATTCAGCTAATAAATTCATTAAACTGCCGTTGGAAGTGTGTTTATGCATGAGGTTGAACGGAAAGCTTCTGTTACTAAAATGAACAAAAATTAAGGAAAAAAACACCACAATTTTCTTTTTTCTCTTTACCTATTGTTGGGAGACATATCACTGAGAGCTATGCATCGTGTACTAGCTTACAGAAAACGTTGTGGCATTTGTTTTCTCCCATCCCCCTTAAAAGAAGCTGACGGCAGTAGGGCACTGGTTGAGCCATGTCGCTTTCTGTGCGTCTGCAGTCTCTCACACTCACACCTAGGTGCTCTCACTCACCCTACTGCCTTTAAATACCATCTGTAAGGGATATCTCCAAAATGGTGGTATCTCGCCCCGACCTCTTTCCTCAGTTCCATACTAACTAATGTGTCTTACCGCCTTCATGGTGTCTCTGCTTGAGTGTCATGTCAGCCCTGTTTCTAAAATACATCTTGAACTCATGCTTTTTTCATCTCCACTGCTACCCCCTCATATAAACCAAGCTTTTCTCTCACTTGGGCTGCCATCATAGCCTTCTAGCTGTCATCTCTGCCTCTCCTTTTAACTCCTTCATAATGAATTGCACCTAAAGTGATCTCAAAATATAAATGAGACCATGGTAATTTCCTTGCCTTAAATCCTCTAGGGGCTTATCAGTGTATTTAGAATTATGAGATTTATGTTAGGGATAGAGGAGTTGGGATCATGAGCAATGCAGATGGTTGAAGGCCATACTGTGTTTTGATGAAAGAAAAAGAAAACCTGCCTCTGGTGTAGCTCTATGGCATGGGAAGAGTATGGAAGACAAGTATTTGCTGATAATAGCATTCTACCAAATAAGCGTTAGCTCCAATTTTATTTCTCTTTTGCTGGGAAACTGGGGCCTTCTTTGAGTACTAGTGAGTAAGACATTTTGCAACAGTGCTGAGTATGAAAGGCCCTGGTCTCTGAAAGGCTAATGCCAAATGTTGGAAGGCCTTTAAAGAAGATGCCAAGCCACAGTGAGTGCCAGCTGCTAGCTCTGAAATAGTGATGTGAAAAGGTAGATTTCTTTTGTGCTATATTTGTGCTAAGCAGTGCCTTTAAAAATATAACTAGAATCATTACGGTGAATAGACACAGAAAATAATTTTATGTTATACAGTAGTTGTATACTAGCTTCCTTTAAATAAATATTATAGCTTTATCAGTTTTTTAGATAGAATTGGAGTGTGGGGGGAAGAATACGAACATGGGTCCTTCCCTTCTCTTTTTCCTGCCTCATCTCATTAGAGAAGTATTTAAGGTAGCTTTCATATAGTAAATTTAACGAGGCGGGAAAAAAAAATAGATGAGGAAATACGGATAGAGGAAAAAATAAGGATGGATGGAAAATGCAATAGTAGATTATGGGGAAATAACGTTCTATAAGAAAGGCTGCATACCTAGCTAGCACCAGTACTCGTTAGCAGGTTCTCCTTTTTTTTTTTTTTTTTTTTTTTTTTTGGCCTTTTGACCGCATAGGTAAAGTCCTGCTTGCTGCTGTTGACCTGATGAAGGGCAGCATGTTGGAACTTCCATCTGTTTTACACTCTTTTGGCGGGTCATTTCTCCCACTGTGAGCCAGGCTTGAGAATCTAGGCAGATGTCAGAGGTCTGTCCCTATGTTTCTTTCAAGCTGGCAAGAATTCCACCATGACTGCCACTTGCTCCCCCATGGGTGTCAGAATCTGTCATAATGGTTGGATGTTTTTGTAAAACATAAACATTCCTGATTTTAAGGTGTACAATGAGACACATTTTGTAATTTGGGAAGGTACACCATTTCAGTTTAGCAATAGGGAGCTATGGAGTTAGGCAGGGAGTCAATAGAATATGTGCAGTCTTGGCAGTATTTCAGTGTCAGTTGATCCTTGATTGTTCACAGTGATATATAATGCCTTAGTATTTAATGAGAAAAACAGTAGAAAAATTTATGTGGTTCCTCATCATCCCCCATGTCTTATACCTTGCTTGTCCCTATCTTTAAAGTAACCTCCAAAACGGATGAAAGGTTTTATATTTAAAAAAAAAAAAAAGAATTCCAAGCATGTCTTAAAGTAAGCAATAAAAATACTTTGGTGGTTACAGTTTACCTAATATAAATTCCACTTTAATCTGTGTGTTCTGTCAGACACACTCCCCATTGAATTCTCAAAGTGCTGTCCAGAGACTGTGACTAGATAATCTGGCTAGTTTAGTAACCTCAGGAGAGATTTTAGTAAGATGACTTTCATAATCCTCAAATCTTACGTATGTTGGCTTCTGGTTTTTCAAGCACGCATCACTGACTAGAGCAGCTCTTATATCTATTTTGGCATCTTGAAAATTATATTAGTTTTTACTACCGGAGTGGGACCCCTCAGCCTCTTCGACTCTTTGAATTAAGGACATACTGAGTCACGGCCTCTTCACTATCACTTGCTCTTAATAAGTGATGTACCCAGGGAGAATTAAGTCCCGTAGGCCAGTAGAACACCATTTTTTCATTAACACAAAGTGTGCTGCTTCTCTGATACCACTACGGTGCTGGGAATGGTATCCTACAGTCTGGAAGAATTTATAACGCACTACCCAAGTGTCAAACTTACTGCCAGAGAACAACTTAGAATTGAGGATAGAAGGGTAGAAAACAGCGACCATGGGGCTTGCTAACTTTGCTCTTATACAGATTGAGTATCCCATATCTGAAATGCTTGGGATCAGAACGTTTTGGATTTCAGATTTCATCGGATTTCAGAATATCTGAATATACAAAATGAGTTATCTTGGGGATGGAACCCAAGTCTAAATGTGCAATTCATTTGTTTCATATATACCTTGTACATACAGCCTGAAGGTTATTTTATACAATATTTTAAAAATATTTTTGTGCATAAAACAAAGTTTTGACTGCATTTTGACTGTAACCTGTCACATGAGGTCATGTGTGGAGTTTTCTCCTTGTGGTGTCATGTAGGCACTCAAAAATTTTGGATTTTGGAACATTTCTGATTTTTGGATTAGGGATGCTCAATATGTGTTTATGTAGGTATAGGTGTAGGTAAAATGTTCCATGAGGCGCTTTTGTATTGTAATAATGTACTTGGTAACTTTTTCTCAGGAGGGTGATTATTCATAGAACTGTAATGGTGATTTAGTAGTAATATACAAGTACTATGCCTCATTTTAGAAAATTATGTGCAATTAACTTTCCTGGACGTTTTCATTGCCTTGTAATCAGGTTTAACTTATAGTTGAAAGAGAAGATATATGAAATAGTAAGAGTACCTCAGAGCCTCACAAAATAATTTAATCAAGTCTCATTATGTGGATACTATAATGCCACTGTCTTTTGAAAAGGAGGTAAAAGTTAAGGCCTGTCCGATAAAAGAAAACTCAGTATACCTGCAAGCAAAGGACCTCAACATAGTCTTTGTGAGTGGTGCCAAAGTAAACTACATTTTTAAGGAGAGTAAGTGGTAAAGTAATATTAGCAAAATATTCCCAAATAAGGATCTATATATTGAGGCAAATTGCTTCTGGCAAGAGGCTTGATTAATGGCAACTTTGAAAATTTTAATAGATAAGTTCATACCACAGAAAGCATTTAGATACAATTATCCGAATGCATTTTGCATTGAGAATCTGTTATCAAAACACTTTTACACCATGAAAAGGAGTGTATTAATATTCATAATACGTTTTGAAAGCACATGTAATAGTTGCATTCTAAAACTCAACGTGAGAAGTAAAAATATCTTTTTAGAGGATTTAGAATATTGTAAGAGAATAAAATGATCTGGAGCACTAGTTTCTTCTTTTGCATTTATACAAGTCCTTTCCCAACTACCCCAGTTGTAACCCACACCAACCCCTTGTGTTTCTTAAGTAAAAAGTCTTAAAAGATATTTTTTAAATAGCTAGACACATATTATTTTCTCCTATTGATGATTAAACTTCTTTCAGCTTTAAAAATCTTCACTGTGTATATCAGTTGTTCTTGTTCTTCTCATGATGAAACTTTCTAAAGAAAAGTAATTTAATCTTTGGTTATGACTGAAACTGCATTCATCTATCTGGTGAATATTAGGTTTTGTGTGCCATGCAGTATGCTAGTTGCTGGGGTTACAGAAGGCAGGGGACAGACATGGTTTCTACCCTCATGGAGCTCACATTATGGTGAGGGAGACCATCAAAATAAATGAAATATTAATAGTTGTAAATTATGACAAGCCCTGTGAAGGAAGCAAATTGGGCAATGGAGGCATTGGACATATAAATTAAAATAGTGAGAGATGAAGTTGGAAGGATAGAGTGAAAACAAATTTCTTTCCCTATTAGAACATAGTTTTTGGCTGGGTATGGTGGCTCAGGTCTGTAATCCCAGCACTTTGGGAGGCTGAGGTGGGTGGGTCCTTCGAGACGATCCTGGGCAACGTAGCAAAACCCCGTCTCTACCAAAAATGTAAAAATTAGCTGGGTGTGGTGGCGTGTGCTTGGGGTCCCAGCTACTCGGGAGGCGTAGGTGGGAGAATCGCTGGATCTTGGGAGGTCGAGGCTGCAGTGAGTCATGATCGCGCCACTGCATTCCAGCCTGAGTGACAGAACGAGACCCTGTCTCTAAATAAATTAATTAATTAATTAATAAGAATATAGTTTTAGTGTTACTTACTGGACCTTGAGAATATAGAATTTTAGCCATTACAAAATATATTATATAGCTTAAGTGAGTTATATGATACCTTATAAATGATAGGAAAATGTATCCTGCTACCTCTTGCCTTGCTCCATGAGTTGCAACCATTCTTTATAGAAATTGTAAAGATTGCATAGTTTACAAACAGTATAAGATACAGCATTATAATTATATATTGAGGGATTTATTATTGTTGTTTTTAGTGATTTGGTATTAAAGCACAAAATTTTGGCTGACGTGTCCTACCAGAATTTTTCCCCCTTTATATTTCTGCCTCTTTTAAAGTCTTTGGGCTCTTGCTGTGCATGCCAGTGAGTACCATAGTTTCACGCTTGTATATTTTTGTTCCTTTTGAAGGTTTTTATGTAGTTTGCTCAGGAAACTGTAAAATACCCAAGCGCTATCTGCTCTTATTTATGTATACATCCCTAAATCTAGCACAGTGTCTGGCACAAAGATAGGTGCGCTTAGTGAATGTTTGTTCAGTGAGTTTCTCTGCTTTTTGTTTTGTTTTGTTTTGTTTTTGTTTTTGAGACAGTCTCGCTTTTTCGTTCAGGCTGGAGTGCAGTGGCGCGATCTCGGCTCACTGCAACCTCCGCCTCCCAGGTTCAAGTGATTCTTCTGCCTCAGCCTCCCGAGTATCTGGGATTACAGCCTGTGCCACCACGCCTGGCTAATTTTTGTATTTTTAGTAGAGACAGGGTTACACCATGTTGGCCAGGCTGGTCTTGAACTCCCAACCTCAGGTGATCTACCCACCTTGGCCTCCCAAAGTGCTGGGATTACAGGTGTGACCCAGCCTGAGTTTCTCTGTTAGTATGGGTGCCCAGTGAGAGGTGAGTACTGTTGGTAGCAGAGAAGAAAGAGATCTCCGTGGGAAGAGGTAATATGAGAAGACTATGGAGAAAGTGGAACGGATGTCGGACTGCTATGCTAGTCACCTTTCTAGCCCAGAGAATATAGGCTACCTTAGGCTACAAAGAGAGTCAACACTGTATTATTCTCCATAGCTATCAGGAATATGCCTCATGCAGGCTCCCTTCAGAAGAATGCGTAGAGAGATTGTTCTCAAGGCTAATGATGTGTATCTCCTGGTGTATGCCTCGCTGGACTATCAGAGCTTTACATTTGTGTTCTTCCGCACCTCATGACTCAGAATTCTAGGCTTTATTTATTTCTGAGTCTTCTAGTAAAATGCCAGAAAATTTTAGGGGAATGTTATAATGTATCAGAAACTCTAATGTAGCATCTACCTATGGCAAGCACCATACTAAGTACTGGGGTCCAAAATGATAGGTAAAATATGATTCCTGTCCTCACAAAATTTAGTAAGATGGGCTAAACATAAACTTATAAAAATCGAAGTGCTGTGATTGAGGTATACACAGAGATGTGTAGGAGCATTTTAGTCTATTCTGGGGCTTTAAAGGTAATTTCATGGAAAATATAAATAGGGGTTAGATGAACAATAGGAGAAGTTTATTCTAAGCAAAACATCAACGCAAGCAGAACCATAGAGATATGAACCAGAGTGGCACTCACAGAGAGCGTTCAGTCTTGAAGTAGTTTGACTGTTTGAGTGAGGCTGGAGAAGTAGCTCATGGAGTGATTGTATACGAGTGCTAATATTGAATGTTTCCTTTTTACAGTAATTGCCAGGAGGGAATAGGTTTATGTTGTGTTTAGCTATTCAGTACTTAAGCAGTAGATGGGCTTTCTCTAACACAGTTTCCTGTTATATGTATATAAAAGGAATATATGTACACACATACACACACACACACACTCATGATTCATACTTTAGAGAACCAAAAATATGTTATTTAAAATCCTGATATCTAGGGAAGCTCCAAGGTGACGTGTAGGAGTGAGGATCTTGTACTACTCACAAACTGACATGACCATATTTACCCAGAGGTACTTTGAAACAATATATTTTGATGGTCTTTTTTTTACTTTAATTCTGGAAGAAATAGATCTTTGAAGCTTGGAATAAAGAGTTAGAAACATCTGGAGAAATATTTGGAGACATACTTGTAACACTTGTGAAATATGAAAATAAGGCACCCAGTGAAAAGGGTTTTTAACTTGAATAAACTTCCCTAAGTCATGTAATGCACTTGAATTAAGAAGTTTTTATAGTTTTTATTTTGAAAATAGTTTAATAATTTTTATAGTGGTTTCCTGTCTTTATCAGTAGTGTTTGTGTAGGGCACTTAAAATGATGTTCTTGTGAACGAATTTCAGGTATAAGCCCAGGTGTTTATTAGTCAGAAATATTCTAGCATTTGTTTTACTTAGTTTTATTCCTCAAAATTTACACATTGATTTTTAAAAATAAAAAAGGTGGCAAGTGTAAAGCTGTGGAACAAACCCCTCTATAAAGTCCTTAAGATGAACGCTTTCCAGTGCTATAATTATATTCTTGAATGTGTTTTTTTTTAAAAAAACAAAACCCAATCAAACTCATACACCACAGTCCTAAGTAGATCCCAGAAACCTTTTTTCTACCCCATCATCTTCTCCCTCTCTTCCTCTTCTTCACTTCCTTCTCCCCGCCACCCTTTCCTATATTCTTCTCCCTCTCTGCTCTACCATCATTTCCTCTCCCATCCGTCTTCTTTTCCTTTCTCCTTGTCTCCTCTCCTCCTTCCTGTCACTCTCAGCCTCATCTCCCTTTGTTTCCAGTATCTATAGAAAGAACATAATGTAGAGAGAGACTTATAGTTTGCAAATTGTTTTTAGGTGCACAGAACCTCTGAGCACTGTGGTTAGTGTATCAGTGTGATGAGTGCTATTGGAAAAAAAATAGGGAAGAGACCCATGGCGGTTGTAACTTTAAATTTTGTCAGGAAGAACAGTCTTGATGAGGTGCTGGCATTTAAGGAAAACTTGTAAGAAGTAAAGAGAGGAGCCATGTCGGTATCTGAAAGGAAGAAAATTCTAGGCACAGGGAACAGTAATTTCAAATTGTGATTGTTTGAATAATAGCTTATTAGGCTGGAATGCAGAGAAGAAAGGGGAGAGAGCAATAGGCAATTTGGTTAGAAGGGTAACTGGGGCTGGGTGTTGGGGATTACTGGGCCATTGGAGGGTTGATTTCTGAGTTTCCTGTTCTGTTCCATTGGCCTCTTTGTCCTTGAGTCATTATTATCCTGTTATAATTACCATGGTTTAATTATAAATAGTGATACTAGCAGGTTGTCTCTCACTTGTTTTTTTCTTTAAAATTGGGTTGGCTATTCTTGACTCTGTGTTCTATATGAATTTTAGAATCAGCTTGTCAAAAACTTGGGCTATTGATTAGAATTACATGGAATTTTTAGATCATTTTGGGAAATTATAATCTTTATGGTATTTATTATATCCAGGAATATATGATACATCTTTTAAAAGACTTCATATATTCTTTTATATTCTTCAAACAGACTCATCTATAAATTTCTCCATAGAAACCTAAGCTGTCTTTTATTGGTTTATTTTCTGGGTACCTTACAGTTTTTATTGCTATTGCTAATGGGATATATTTTTCCCCATTTTATTTTCTAAGTTTTTTGTAGGAGTACAACTATTGTTGAACTTGTATCTACCAACCTTATCTACATGCTTGATCTCTTTTGTTAGTTCTCTTAGTCTATGTATTGTCTACATAGGAAATCCAAGAAAATTATATCCATCTGCAAATAAAGATAGCATCACCACTTTCTTTCTTTTTTTCTTTCTCTCTTTCTTTCCTTCCTTCCTTCCTTCCTTCCTTCCTTCCTTCCTTCCTTCTTTTCTTTTCTTTTCTTTTCTTTTCTTTTCTTTTCTTTTCTTTTCTTTTCTTTTCTTTTCTTTTCTTTTCTTTTCTTTTCTTTTTTCTTTTCTCCCGTCCCGTCCCGTCCCGTCCCCCCTCCCCTCCCCTCCCCTCCCCTCCTTCTCTTCTCTTCTCTCTTCTTTTTTTGGACAGAGTCTCGCTCTGTTGCCCAGGCTGGAGTGCAGTGGCCCAATCTCAGCTTCTTGCAAGCTCCACCTCCTGTGTTCACACCATTCTTCTGCCTCAGCCTCCTGAGTAGCTGGGACCACAGGCGCCCGCCACCATGCCAGGCTAATTTTTGTGTGTGTGTGTTTGTGTTTTTAGTAAAGACTGGGTTTCACTGTGTTAGCCAGGATGGTCTCAATCTCCTGACCTCGTGATCCGCCCGCCTCTGCCTCCCAAAGTGCTTGGATTACAGGCATGAGCCACTGCACCCGGCCCCTTTCTAATTTTTATACCACCTTTTTTCTTTTCTTGTCTTATTGCATTGACTTGGATATCTAGGGCAGTGTTGTGTAGAAAAGCAGTTATCTTTGTTTTGCTCCATTTTTTAAAAGGGATTCTTCTAAAGTTTTGACATGAAGCAAGACAATTGCTTTATCTGTTTTGGTCAGTTCCTTTTGATTCCTAGAGTTCCCTAAGAGTTTTAAAAATAATTATTATTGAACTTTTTTCTGAAATTTAACATATGCTTCTTTCCTAGGTATTGAGATAGATTCTTTGATTTTTCTCATTCATCTGTTAATGCATTGTATTAGTTTCATAGATTTGCTGATGTTAATTCATCACATCATTTGTTGAAGCAGTTTGAATAAGAGAAATGGGTTGAGCCTTGAAAATTTGGTAAAACCTAAGATGGTATTGAAGTGGGTGGATGGGTTTTTTTAGTTACTGTTTTCAAATTCTTTTATTTTTATAGAAAATTACTTATTTCATATATATCAGATTTATCGGCATAAAGTTACTGTATTTATAGTGTTCTTATTGTTAAAAGTGTTCCTTCTTTGTTTGTAGTTATTTCCTCTATGTTTGTTCCCAGGATTGTTTGAGCACTTACCTTCCTGCACATACATCTTTCATCCCTCTCCTTAAATCAGTCATACCTAGTATTTTTGTCATCTGTTAGTCTGCTCAAAAAAGAAGTTTTATCTTGTTAATCCTTTCTGTTGCTTTTTCCTATTTTATTAATAATACATATTTTTGTTATTATTTTCTTCCTTCCGTTTTATTGTGTTTACTCCTTGCTTTCTTCATTTAAGACTTTTAGGCCTATAAGGATATAAATTACTTGTAAGTACTGTTTCTGGTAGATTTTGACATGTATTACTTTTGTTGTCATTCAGTTTTAAATATTTTGTGATTTCCATTGTGATTTCTTCTGTAACCCATGATTTATTAGGAACTACACGTTTAAGTTTTCAAACAAAAGGATTTTATTTTAACCTTTAAAAAAAAAACTGTTGATTTCTAACTAAATTGCACTGTTGTTAAAGAATATGTAGACTGACTTTGGGAGGCAAAGGTGGGTGGATCACCTGAGGTCGGAAATTTGAGACCACCTAGCCAAAATGGTGAATCCCCGTCTCTACGAAAAATACAAAAATTAGCTGGGCGTAGCGGCGCACATCTGTAATCCCAGCTACTTAGGAGGCTGAGGCATGAGAATCACCTGAACTGGGAGGTGGAGGTTGCAGTGAGCAGAGATCATGCCACTGCACTGCAGCCTGGGTGACAGAGTGAGATTCCATCTGAAAAACAAACAAACAAACAAACAAACAAAAAACCCAAAAAGAGTATGTAGACTGTATATCATCATTTCTTTGAAATGATGTCTTGTGTCTTGTTATGTATTCAATTTTTGTAGCTCTTCCATGTATTCATGGAAAGAGGATACGTTCTTTCTTTGTGGAAAGCCATGGTATACACTAGAAAACATGTTAAAATATTTATTAATTTTAGATTTGTCAGTTTCTTCTTATTCAAATTTTTTCTGTGTATATTTCTGAGCTGTATTGCATACCAGTGTGGCTGTGTACATGTTCATGATTGATTACTTTTCTTCTTGAGTTTCTCTTTATATATTTATTGATGAACTTAAGTTTTAAAATATTTCGTTGTTTTATTTGTTGTTATTCCTGTACCAGGTTTTTTCTTGTTAGAATTCATCTGGCATATGATTTTCTACATTTTTTTAACTTTTGGTGTAATTTTACTTTGCATGCCTTTTGTGCAATACGTAGATGGGTTTACTTTAATTATTTTAGCTACTCTGGTAATCTTTGTCTTTTCAGTAGGTTTAATTACACTAGTTTTTTTCATTTGCACAGTGATAGAGCCACCATTGCCTTTTAAAAATGTCTTTAAAAATGGCAGACTCTCCATACCTTTGCACTTATAAGTTTCAATTTTTTTAATGGTTTTTTACCACTTTCCTTTTTCTTATGATTTAAACCTCAGTTTAAATGCTTCCCTCCCCCCCCTTTTTTTTTTTTCAGAGAAGCTTTTCTCTGACCAATCCCTTTTTAGAATAGACCCCAACTCCCATTATTTTCTTAGTTCCTTATTTATTTCTTTTATAATACTTAGAAAAGTTTTATCTCATTTCTATGTAGATTATTTACTGATGATACTAGTATTAATGTCTCCATTTTTTATCATTTTATTTATATGTTAGTTACTTGATATTAGTTGGTAGAGGATGAAGAAAAGGGTAGCATGGTCAAGAGGAGGTGCTTCAGCGTTGGGTTACCTGAAGCAAATTGAGGAAGACATAAAGATTATTCGTGATGGAAGAGAGTATGTATAGGAGTACCTTCACAGAGAGAAAGTAATCTCTAGGGAAGGGTGAATTAAGTTTAACTACAGAGATTTTTAAGGTGAGAAAGAGGTTAAACAAAGAATTACTTGAATCAGACCTGATTCACTGAGTAAAGAGTGGAGAATAAACAGAGTTGAGAAGGCGTGGAATACTTGTCAAGTGGTGTGCCCCTAAGAGAACAGGGGTGAAGCTCCAATTTTCCTTTGACCTTGCCATGTTTTTGGTTCTGTGTATTCATTTGATAGTATCTTCTGGCCTATAGCAGTTAGGGAGATAGTAGAACTGATGCCGGGACTAGTTTAAGTTACATTGTGTCTGATTTATGTTGATGTTGAATAGGGGTGAAGGCAGCATTGATCTAAGGTAGAAAATCTTGGATGTACTAAACACTATGTTAAGAAGAAGGACCAGGTTTTTATTCCAACTGTGCTCTGAACTTGCTGTGTAACTTTGGGCTCAATCTTGCCTTCCCCCCGAATCAGAAAGAGGTTGACCTTAATAATCTCCAAAGTCTTAAAATTTTTAATGAAAGTATATGAAATAAATGGGGTGAGTAAAGGTTCAGGTAAAAAAGAGTAATAAGTGACAAGAAGCAAGAACATGGTATAGAGCTTGTAATAAAGATTTACCTCCCACTTCTCATGTAACACTGTATACCCTAACATATCTATAATTGTATTCATAGAACCCCTTATCTTCAATGTTCATTCTCAAATCTGATCTCATTTTAACAAATTAAAATTTAAGTTGATACAGTTAATATAAATGAACATTCCCACTTATGTACGAGCCAGCTAGTAGAAAGAACATTGAATTTTAAGGCCAATTCCAGTCGTGCATTTAGAAGTGTTATTGGGCACACTAAAGTCTTTTTAGCCCTATTGGTTCATCTGTGAAATGAAGGAGGGTGGACTTTGTATGAAAACACCGGAATTTTACTTGCAGGCACATTTCTAGATCAGAGAAATATGATAGTTGTTGTGTGTCCATATTTTATCAAGACATTTGACATAATCTTTTTGATTATTCTCTTTAGAGTAGAATGAGTGAGTGACAACTCATTGTTGAATTTGTAACTTGGAGTTATCTGATGAGATGGCACAGGATTCTGTTCTCAGTGCGGTTTTTATTTCACCATTTTTAGCATTGCTTTGGATAAAGATATTGATGGCTTGCTAAGCAAGTAACTTGTATGTTGGATTACAAAATCAGGGTCTCAGCAGGCTTTGACTTAAGCACCAAATATGACACATGGAAGCACCGCGGATTTCTCTAGAGCACTCCTCTGGTTGGGCCAACAAGCAGCGCTGCATAAGGATAGGAGGCAAGGGCTTCCTCAGATCTTGCCTTCACATTGCTTTCTGTGTGACACATGATCCCACATTTCAACAAGTATAAAAGAATATTGTGAATTCTCTCTTTCCCCTTTAGTCATGCCGTTTCATTCCCCGAGGGAACCAAAATTATTAGGGATTGTTTGTTTGTTTGTTTGTTTGTTTTGAGACAGAGTCTCTCTGTCACCCCGGCTGGAGTTCAGTGGCATGATCTGGGCTGTCTGCCACCTCAACCTCAAAGGCTCAAGCTGTCCTCCTACCTCAGCCACCCGAGTAGCTGGGACTACAGGCAGTGCCACCACACCCAGCTAATTTTTGTATTTTTTGTAGAGATGTGGTTTTGGCCATGTTGCACAGGTTAGTCCTGAACTCCTGAGCTCAGCGATCTGCCCAACTCTGCCTCCCAAAGTGCTAGGATTACAGGCGTGAGCCACCTTGCCCAGCTGTTATTAGGTTTTTTAAATGATCTGTTCAGAAAAATGTTATGCCACATGCAAATTGTAAGCAAATTGTGTGTGGAAATATTTTTCTCCCCACTTTCACATTTTATACAGCTGGGTGTATATTACTCATATTGTTTTGTACCTTTTTCCTTTTTTCTCATAATAGTCCTTGTTGGAGGTGTTTCCGTATCAGTGTGATCATTTCCTTTTACATGGCTGCAGGGCATTACTTTGTGGCTTACATACCATAGTTTAGTTAACAGGTCCACTACTGATGGACATTTTAGTGTTTTTCAGACTTTATTACAAGCAGTGCTATAATCTGTACTCTATACCATAGTTTTATATATGGGATAAATTCTTAGAAGTGCTGTTGCTAGGTCACAGGGGGATTCAACTTTCTAGTGTCAGTGCTGTCATTCCTGTCCTTGTTTTACATGATCTTAGAAAAAATAGAATTTAATAGTTGGGATTTAGGCATTATCAAATCCAGTGATTCTCAAAGTGTGGTCTTTGAGCCAGGAGCAGCAGCAGCAGCAGCATCACATGGGAACTTGTTAAAAATGCAGATTTATGGGGCCCACCCTAAACCTCCTGAATCAGAGCCTCAGGGGCCCAGCAGTCTGCACTAACAGGTGCTTTTACATCTATGGAAACTGATCAGAGTGATGAAATAACTTGCCAAAAATATATAGTTACTGGTGGCTTCTGTTATATTTCCACTATAACTTCTATTTTTCTTGTTTTCAGTGCCTCTTTTAAAAGGACATTTTGTTTTTTAAGTTATCAATATAAAAGATCCTTGATTCGATTTTAATCTTTTTTATTTATGCTTCTCAACTGTCTGTGTTTTGGGACATAGCAAATTCAAATGAATACTATTTTGAAATTTTTATAACAATTCCTTAGACTTTCTAAAACCAATCCTTAAATTAACTGCCTGTTATTTTGCATATACGAGTCTTCCGATGTCTCAAGGGATGGCCCCCGACATCCTTTTTTTGACTCCTTTCCAGTCACATCCCACCATTCCAAACTATATCCTTCTCTTAACCACATCTGTTCCTTGCCTCATGTTTTCTCTTACTTTTTCTTTTTACTATTAAACCCTATTTTCTTTCTTTTTTTGAATTCTATTTTATTTTAAATTGACACATAATAATTGTACATATTTATGAGCTACAAAGTGATGCTTGGATACCTGTATACAGCGTGTAATGATCAAATCAGGGTAATTAACAAATCCATAACCTCAAACATTTATCATTTTTCTGTGGTAAGAACATTGTCTGTTTTACCTGTTTTGAGATATACAATGCATTATTGTTAACTAGTTACCCTACTGTGCAATAGAATACTAGAACTTATTGTTTCTAACTGTAACTGTTGGCTAACCTCCTCCATCTCTTCCCTTCCCCTCCCCTGCCTCTGATAATGGCAATTCTGTTCTCTACTTATATGATATCAGGTTTTTTAGATTCCACATGTGAGTGAGATCATGTGGTATTTGTCTTTATGTGTCTGATCTGTTTCACTTAACATAATGTCCTCCAGGTTCATCCATGTTGTCTCAAATGACAGGATTTCATTCTATAACTTAATAGTATTCCATTGTGTATTATATACCACATTTTCTTCATTCATTCATCCCTTGATGGACACTTAGGTTGATTCCATATCTTAACTATTGTGAATAATAATGAATAAGCAAGGGAGTGCAGATAACTCTTCGACATACTGAGTTCATTTCCTTTGGGTATATCACCAGTGGTGGGATTACAGGATCATATGGTAGTTGTATTTCTAACATTTTGAGGAATCTTTATACTGTTTTTCATAATTGCTGTCTTAATTTACATTCCCACCAACAGTGTATAAAGGTCCTCTTTTCTTTGCATCCTTGCCAACACTTGTTATCTGTTATCTTTTTGATGATGTCCATTTTAATTGGAGTGAAGGGATATCTTACTGCGATTTTGATTTCCTTTCCCTGATGATTACTCATGTTGAACATTTTTTCTATATACCTGTTGGCCATTTGCATGTTTTATTTTCAGAACAAAGCAGTGGTGGGGGGATACATCACACTACCTGACTTCAAAGTATACTGTAAAGCTGTAGTGACCAAAATAGCATGACACTGGCATAAAAACAGACACGTAAATCAATGGAACAGAATAGAGAACCCAGAAATAAATTCTCTTATCAACAGACACTTGATTTAAAAGAAGGTGCCAAGAGCACATACTAGAGGAAAGAATAGTGTCTTCAAAAAATGATGCTGGGAAAATTGGATTTCTACATGCAGAGGAATGACACTAGACCCCTATTTCTCAATTTAAAAACAAGATCACCTCCCCCCCCCCCCCGCCCCGCCAAAAAAAAGCATGAAACTACTAGAAGAAACCATAGGAGAAATCCTTCTTCACATTCATTGATCTGGGCAAGGATTTTAAAAATAAAACTTCAAAGGTCCAGGTAATAAAAACAAAAATAGAAAATGGGGTTATATCAAAGTAAAAAGCTTCTGCACAGCAAAGGAACTGACCAACAGAGTGAAAGGGTAACCCACAGAATAGGAGAAAATATTTGCAAACTATATATCTGACAGGGGATTAATATCTGGAATATCTAAGGAACTCAAGTCAGTAGCAGAAACCAACCAGATTTAAAAGCTGGGCAAAATACCTGAATGGACGTTTCTCAAATTTTCATTTGTTCTTTTCTTCTTAAAGCATTTGTTTGTATATTCTAAATTGAAGAAATCACTACTGGTTAGCCTTTCTATGGCATTTTGTTATTATTTGTATGTTTGTGCCTGGCTTTATTTTATTCATGTGTTTTCATATCAGTCTCTTGCTAGTGAATATGCTCCTTGAGGGCAAGGACTGTGTTTTCTTCAGTGTCACTTCAGGCTCCTTGCACCATTCTTAGATAAATGTTGGTTGTATTTGTTCTGATGCACAGTTGGGACTCGGTGGAATAGAGAACATGTTCTATGGCTGTAGTCTACATTTATTTCTCCCACCAGCTTCTTATAAATAAGCTAGTAACTACATGGGATACTGGGCATGAATAGGGATAAGTCAGCTCAAACTCCCTTAGCTGAAATTTACAGCTGAAAAATAAGCCAATCCACAATCAGTAAAACTATATTTTGGTCCTATTTAATGTGCCAGACATAATGTTGTATGTAGAAGATGGTGTGTTTCTAGTGTCATTTTCATAAAGGACAGAGTATTTTTACTGTTTATATTATTTTATACCTATAGATGTTCAAATTATGTGCATTTTTGCTTTTGTGAACTTAGAAGTATGGTATCAAGGGTTTTTAAAACTTTTTTTCAAAATTCTTTTAAAATTGTAGTCACTATCTTGAATTTACTCTGTCATGTTAAATACCCAGATACCAAGACTGGGTGTTTCCTACTGGTGAAATGTCATATTTTGGTAAAACAAAAAATGTTATCTAAACATACTGGTCAAAGGAGAATATATATGTGTCACTATGTGATAGAGAAACATTTTAATTTTATTTCATGTTTTCCTTTCAAGCATTATGATTTTGCACTTGAAACAACATTTTTTTTTTGAGTAGTACTCCAAATGTACTTTATAATACTTTAGAGAAGTTTTGAAAAGAAGCAGCATCTTTGAGATGACTTTTAAAAATTGTGGTTGCTTGGCTTTATTTAGTAAAAGTGATTTTGTTTCATCAGGAAAATGTTCTTACGAGATGTTTTGAGAAATGGAGATGTGTTATGGCTATCTTAGGGCCAAAGTTACAATTTTGAAAAAATGTGCTGAGGGGTTGCCTTCTGATCTTGTTCGTAAGCCACTTTTTTTGAGACAGGGGTCTTGCTCTGTTGTCCATGGTGGAGTGCAGTGGCTTGATCACAGTTCACTGCAACCTCGAACCCTTGGGCTCAAGCGATCCTCTCACCTCAGCCTCCTCAGGAGCTAGGACTACAGGTGCACACCACCGTGCCTGGCTAATTCATTTATTTATTTTTGGTGGAGATGAGGTCTTATGTTGCCCAGGCTGGTTTTGAATTCTGGCCTCAAGTTATCCTCCTGCCTCAGCCTCTCAAAACGTTGGAGTTACAGGTGTGAGCTGTTATGCTGGGTCAGTGGGCCACTTTAAAAAATAAGTCTTTTAAGTGTTTATTCATTTATTTGACTTAACACGTTTTGAGTGCTTGTCTTGTGCTAGACACTGAGACAATAGAAAACTATTCCAATTCCTTCTCTGTTCTTAGGTGTTTATAGTTGGCATAAGAGTTAGATTTTATGCAAATGAAACTGGAAACATTTTGTACAGTAACTTACAAAAGTTCTCAATGCAGTATATTCGTATTTCCAGATTTATCTGATGGCTTAGTTTGTCAATACTGAATTAGAAGTTTCTCTTTTGCCCACAATTAGAAGTCAGCCTTACTGGACGGTTGATAAAGTAGAGCTGTATCTTACCTGTAGTTCCTGTTTCTAGCACCCTTTCCTACCAAAATATAAAGTTGAGTTTCTCATTCTCTCTTTTGTAGTGAGCATTTGTCCTGTGCTTTCACATTCTTTCTGCATGGAGAAAGTAATGTATGCACAAGTGTGGAGATTGCCCAGCACCAGCCAATTTATTTGATCAATGAGGAGCATATACACATGGCTCAGTCTTCACCTGCACCATTTCAAGGTAAGTATGGGTGTTCCTGCTCTCCACCCCTATCCGCCACCGAGTGGATAACCATCTTGCCCAGTAAAGTTTTGCAGGGTGAGACCTTATCTTAAATGGACATTTTAAAGCTAAGCATAAGGGTCAGATTTTGAAGAAGGAAGAAAAGACTACCATTTCATAATTAAGTAGTAATAGTGTGTTAGTTTTTCGCTGAAGCTTATCGCATATATAAGATGGTCTTATGTGTATTCTTTTGTAAGAATAAAATGTAGAATTTCCTTCAGAACAAAAGAAAATCAATAAATACTTGAAAAATAGAATTCAATGAGTAATTGACCAAAGTCACAAATTAAAGGTTTTCATTGTTGTGTTTATTAACAAGGTTTTAGGAATGTAATGGTTTATAGAAGATAAACCAAATACTTAGTATTTGAAATTTCTATCAGAATCAAAGTTCTAGAATTATACAGTGTATAGTTTCTTCAGCGATGTTCCTAACTTTGTTTTAATTTTAAACTCCATTGGTAATAGGTATTTAGCTGTAATTTAAATGTAATTGATACATTCATATTTTCATTAATTCTCAGCTTTACCACCTATATATCACCAAAATAACTTCATGTCCTTTTGATCTGAGCATTACAAATCTTAGTTTTGTCTTTGGAATTCAGAATTTTCTGTGAGTAACAGCTTTTAAATGTTATAATATTAGATTGAACCGTATGGAAACAATCTTTTTTTGGTTCAGTCTAATATGTCATTATTAGAGATGACTGGTTGAAATAGTCTTAGCATATCACACAATATAATTTTAAAAAACACTGATATTTTAACAGACTTGACTAAAATATTATAATTGCTGTAAAAGCCTGTCATGAGCATTTAGCCTCCATTGTATTTATTTTTTGTTTTCTATAAACTATTCTGATTTAATTCAATGAAAGCATCTGTTTCTTGCCCCAAATATAATAAAACTACTAGAAAATTCAAAACCCAATTCTTAAACTGTACAGTACAAATTGTACAGTATTTGCAAATTATGGCTTATCAGAATTTTTAAAATACTGTTTTCTTGAGTGTAAAAGTGCTGAGGACCATCTGACTCCATCCAACATTTTATCACTCAGAATAAAAGCATTTAGTTATGGTAATAACAGAGGAATAAGTAGTCATGAGGGAAGAGAACTTATTTCTAATCTTCAATGTTGGGAACAATAATATTAGGAATACCAGGTCCCTATAGACCACTTTTAATTTTTCTGATTTTTGTCACTGATGGAAGTCATAGAATACTTTTGTGGAGCATTATTCTGCTTATTTTCCATGATTGGTGTGGAGGAAGACCATACTAAGGCAGTTGCTGTCCTTATGGATAATTATATTCATCATAATTATCCAAATTGATGTGGGAATTTCCTGGAAGCATTATTGCAAAAAAATTACCCTTGATTAACTGTGTTAGTTGGAGTCAGTATTTTTATCCCATTTGGATCATTGAGGAACAGCAGAAAGACTCAACGATACATGTGATGTCTATAACTGTCTCTCTCTTGATTGATGTGACATATGATCTAGCTCTTTAAAAAAATTAAAAAAAAGACATTCCGTTTAATGACCATGCTGAGTTTTTGTTAAAAATTAGAATTAAGAAAAAGTGGCCTTTATCTTCAGAAACGTATTATTTGGAAGATTGAAGTACTCACTTCAAGGCTATGAACTGGCTGGGTAATTCACAGTACTATATTAACTATATTTTTGTGTCTGACTCAGTGAAAATGCCATCAAGGTCAAATACTGAAAGAAGATAGAGGACTTTGGGTCCTTTACTTTGAGTTAAATCAAATTTTACTTAGAGTTGTTTTATCAACAGACCTCTAAAACAGTCAAAACAGAAACGATAACTATTATGCTTCAAGCTTTTGTACATTAAAACTTTCCCACTGTTAGAAATTTCATTTATATGTTATTCTTTGATTACCACAGATGTTTAGGGAGTCTCAGGAACCACAAGAGTGTTCAAGTTTTAGGCAGCATTTGCGGTCTCCATGTTGAATGATTTTCTTCTGTTTTGAGAGAGTCAGTGTTTACATTGTACAGGCTATTATTAAACAGATATGTATATGCTTCAAAGCATAGCTGTCTGATAACATTGTACTATCCATATTTTATTTCGTTTAAAAATTGTGGGAGGTGAGAGGTGTATAAATAATAAGAAATTTTAAAACAAGAAACTTCAAAATATCATACTTTTGTGGCTAAGGCGGGAGCATCACTTGAGCCTGGGAGTTCAAGACCAGCCTGAGCAACATAGTGAGACCCAGTCTCTACAAAAATAATTTTTAAAAAAATTTCTTTTAAATCATACTTTAAATAGAGTTAGGAAATAAAGAACAATGCACATTAAGTGATACTGTAACCTAAAATTACCACATATGTAGTGTTGCACTTAAGTAGGAATTATTTCTCTAATGTTTAGCATGTATTTCTCCTCCCCTCCATAGTACTGGTAAGTCCTTATGGCTTAAATGGGACGCTAACAGGCCAAGCATACAAGATGTCAGACCCAGCCACTCGTAAGTTGATTGAGGAATGGCAGTATTTCTACCCGATGGTGCTAAAAAAGAAAGAAGAATCGAAAGAGGAAGACGAGTTGGGATATGATGATGATTTCCCTGTGGCAGTTGAAGTAATTGTTGGTAAGAGAAAATATTTTGCCTGAAGAACTTTATTCTTCTTCCTCTTCCTTAATTTAAAAAGATAATCATTTAGATTCTTCAGAAATAATCTCCATACCCATCTTTTTAAAGAAATTCTCTTGACACAATGGTATGTACTGAGTAGTTATCTTGCCTGAAGCACCCTTGGTCCTTGTATTCCAAATGCTCTTATCATCATGTTGGAACACATGTTTAAACAGCTATTAACTTATGAAAGAATGGAGCCTATCACTTTTGGCAGTACTTCATGAGCATCTCATTTTCACCATTGGAATCATAAAATTGGAAGTCTTGTATGAATTCTTTCTCAGTCCTGATTCTTTCCTTGTTCTCTTTGCTTATAGGTGGTGTTCGGATGGTTTACCCTTCAGCATTTGTTTTGATCTCTCAGAATGACATCCCGGTTCCTCAGAGTGTTGCCAGTGCTGGAGGCCACATTGCAGTTGGGCAGCAAGGGCTTGGTAGTGTGAAGGACCCAAGTAACTGTGGGATGCCTCTGACCCCTCCCACCTCTCCAGAACAGGCTATCCTAGGTGAGTAGGATCCAGGAGTGTCCTGGGGAGAAGAGATCTCAGACAATTGTATAGTCTACCTGCCATGGAACAGGTGAGAAAACAGAAATTCCTGTTGGAAGAGATGGAGGTAGTAGAGTAACGTAAGGATATTACAAAATGGAGAAGGAAAACTATAAACAAACAGAATTCATACACTTCAGAATTTTAACTCTGTCCATATTAGTCTTTATTGTTATTAAATAGTTTAGATTCTGTTAAAGTTTGCACACACATCTGCCCCTGTATGTGTGTATGTGTTCACATATAGATAAAATGTAGGGTTTTTTTTTGTTTTTTTTTTTTTTAATTTTGAACAACTGAAGAATACTAAATCAGAGAGTAGCTGAAGCCTCTGCCCCGGTGACCATTGTCAGCCAGGGACAGGCCTTGAACAACTCTTTTCCCTGTTAGATGTAAAGTTAGACTAGTGCTTAGTAGCTCTGAATAAATACTTTTCTCTGTCAGTAAAGTGTCTGCATTAATAATAAATATTAATTATATGGGACAGTTTTGACAGTTGGAACTGCCTGTCTTCATGGAAAAATTCAGAAATTGTTTAAATTGGGAACATTTTTGCCTTCTTTATTGAGTAGTATAGTTCCTATATTAACTTTGTTATTGTTGTAGTTGACCTCACTTTAATTAGAACTGTGGTCAGTATGGAAAGGATACTCATCATACTTGAGCCGAAATGAGATTATTTATTTATAAGCATTGAATGTGGGCCAAGCTGGCAGGAACATTAGAGTAAATAAAGCCTTGGCTGCTAAACTTTGAAAATAAACTATCAAGCATGATACATACGTAATCCTCATGAAAATTACCAGAGTAAGACAAAATTTGAAAGTTTCTAGCACAATTCTTGGCAATTAGTGGGCATTAAATAAATGTTTATAGTTAAAGAAGATATTGGGGAAAAGCATATACTTTGTGATTGAGCGCACCTCGTTGTAAAACCTGGCTATATCGTTTACAAGGTGAGTGACCTTATTTAATTCTCGTAGTTTTTCTGAATCTTGGTTATTTTTTCTGATAAATACATACTTTACCGTGTTGTTGTACATACTAGGTAATATATACAAGTGCTTGGTAAACAATAAAGTCATATACAAGTGGTAGCAATAATTTAAAGCAATATTCAAAACTCGAAGTTTAGCACACATTGTCTGGAGGTAATTACTCAGATGTTTTGTGGGAGACATAGAAATGGACATGTATGTTTTTAAGAACCATGTATTTGCTGAGATGGTTAAAAAAAAAAAAAGAAGAAAAGAAAAGTACATCCAAGGCCAGGCATGATGGCTCATGCCTGTAATCCCATCATTTTGGAAAGTCATGGCAGGTGGATCGCTTGAGCTCAGGAGTTTCAGACCATCCTGGGCAACATGGTGGAATCCTGTTTCTACAAAAAATACAAAAATGAGCTATGCATGGTGACAAATGCCTGTAGTTCCAGCTACTTGGGAGGCTGAGGTGGGAAGATGGCTTGAGCCCTGGAGGTGGAGGTTGCCGTGAGCCAAGACAGCATCAGTGCACTCCACCATGGTCGACGGAGCTAGACCATATCTCAAAAAAATAAAAAAGTACTTGCGGCTTTCATTTGGTAGAGCAGAGAATTTGGATGATTCCTTGTGAAAGGATTTATCATCAATCAACTATATTAAACTAAAAAAGAACTTTCATAGTCTTTTGTAGTAATCATCATAGAGAAGATATATGAATATAAAAATTAGAATTATCAGTATTTTGAAGTTTTTAATTTCACATCACAATTTGGATTTTTAACAATTGCACTACATTAAGTTATCCACTTGTTATCTGTTTGTTTTTGTTTTGCCTTGTACTTAGTGAAATTTGTATTCAACTTAAAATTGAAGGCCTGCTGTGTAAATGAGGCTTTGACCTCTGGTCAGTTCAGAACTCTTAATAGTCATAATTCAGAAACAAGAGGTTTTTTTTGATGGGGGATTTCAGTGTGGACTAATTAACTATGGATCTTCAAATTCCTTCCCCTTTAACTCTGTATGCTATTGTGTTAGGCCTTGGATAAATAAATCCCCTGATGTCGCCTTATTCCTTAAAACAAACACACACAACTGAACAAAAGCTGCCGATATCCTTGTAGTAAAATGAATTTGCCTAAATTTTCATATCATAGGATGTTGAATTACAGGTTAGGAGTCTTAATGCTGTATCAGAGAGTATCCCGGTCAGCCTTGACATTCTGTAGTTGAATGCCATATTTTTCTAGATATAGGACAGAATGGGCTACTTTGCCGTCTAAAAAACACCAAGGTTCTCCTTGATTAGCAGAGGGCTTAGGAGGGC
Organism: Homo sapiens; assembly: GCF_000001405.40. NCBI lineage: Eukaryota > Metazoa > Chordata > Mammalia > Primates > Hominidae > Homo > Homo sapiens. Next base: position 116,016,874 of record NC_000012.12, on the reverse strand, counting down.
CGAATAGTATTAGTGACATTACTCATACCTTATTTGGATTGGTATATCCACTTGCCTCTTTGTTTGATATGTAGAGGTAATTGCAAGTAACAACATTCAACATGCATTTTAACAGATTGGAGTAACAAGTCTTGTTTAATTCCATCTAAGATACCACTCAGATTTTAGTTCAGTCATTTAAGTGCCACTGAAAAGCTTCAACCTAGCTTTAGTCAGAAAAGTCTCTATGGCTTGTTTCTCCCTACTCTTTTCTTTTCTTGGTCATAAATTGTTTCTTTATGATACCATGGGCATATGATCTCTTTAGCTATATCATAGGATGTTTTGGAGAGAAGGTCTATGTTATCTACTTCATACTTCTGTTTATTTCTTTAGTTTGCCTAGTTTTATAATTGGTGTTTGAAAAGCAATTGTAAAATTGAAATTAATTCTTTTGCATCATGAACCAAGTTGGGAACTTTTAAAATGTAGCAAAGTTCAAATTTCTTATCTCATTTGTAATATAGTAATACTTTTATCGGAAAGAAGAGCGCTTCATTTCCTTAGAATATAAGCATTTGGGTCTTTTTTTTAAATAGACGTAAGCCTGACCATTCAGCTTGTATCATCATCATCTTTCATTGATAATAAGAATACTTAGTTTGTGTTATAAAGTTGCTTCTTTCTTTTTCACCTTGACTTTCGTTAAGGTGTTTTGCATCATAGTTCTATTGAGAAGAAAATCCATAATATATACTTACTAAGTCAAATAGGTGAAAGTGATTCAATCAGAATTTAATACTGGAAATTGACTTTAGTATTTGTCTTATATAAGATAGAAGTAGTAAAATACTCAAAATGTAAACAACAACCAGTATCATCAATAATCATAATGAACATAGTTGAAAGAAATAGATTATATTTATAACCACTGTATTTGAAAAAACTAAGTGGAGTTACTAGAGAGAAACCAGTGAATTTTTAATCCTCTGAAATAAAATGTCAAGACAACCTCTTTCAGTGTCGTAGTACTAAGTTTTAAATACATAGTGTCAGGCATAAGGACAAACAGTACCACACACAAATTTGAAATTTGACCTTGTTAAAAGCTTTGTGCCATTACTTTCTTTTTCCTACCCAGGGCACTGTGTGCTGCTGATATACAGCCATTTAGCTACATGAGTATAAAGCTCCCTCTACTGTTCCCTTTTGCCTTGAAACTCATTGACTGTGTTAAGATTTAAAAATCTAAAACAATCAGTGGAGGTTTGCATCTTTAATATTGTGATGTATGTACCCTTGCTTCTAAGTTGTTTCCAATACATGTGGACTAGGAGTGCCTATGTATGTGTGTGCCCTTATGGTTGTGTGAGTGTTCATCTGATTAATTGATTTAGGGAAAAAACAAAGAATCATACAGACAGAGTTCCAGGGAAAAAAATCCATTCTGATAGAAATTTTACTCATGATTATAGATAGTGTTATTGCCAGGGGATAGGGAAAAAGCTATGTATATGACTTTCAACAATTAAAATGCATATTTATGTTAATAAGATAGCAGTCTATGAAGTAGGAAACCTTTTCAGAAAATCCTAACATTCCAAATTGCCTTTTTTTTCAGGTGAGAGTGGAGGTATGCAGAGTGCTGCCAGTCACCTGGTTTCCCAAGATGGAGGGATGATAACGATGCACAGTCCAAAGAGATCGGGGAAGATTCCTCCAAAACTCCACAATCATATGGTCCATCGAGTCTGGAAGGAATGCATCCTCAACAGAACCCAGTCCAAGTAAGTTTTCTCGATTATGTCTAGATCATAGTTTAGTAACCATCTCCTTGATTGCTACCTGGAAAATGTCAATCACATTGCACTATTGTGTGACCAAACTTGAGAGGTCATCATTGGTATTTCATCTTTTTGAATTTAATAGAATAAAATTTGAAATAAATATGTTAAAATCAAGACATTTACTGTACTTGATTTCATTATCGAGGAACTTTTTGAAGTTCCTGATACTGTACAGATTGGCATGGTGTTGACCTAATATTTTGTAGCACAGCTGGCACAGGGATTCACCATGGGTATCAGGACAGCAACCAGTGGGTTTGGTTTTTCCTTGCATATCAATGTATGAATGCGTCCCTATTGTGAAGGGAAAGAACCTTCCTTGCTGATTTACTATTGTATACAGGCCTTAGTTGTAATTAACAATACATTTTTGAACTAGACTGATGACAGTTGGAGGGGTGTTTATTATCTGCCGTGCTCCTGTTTGTTGATTTGAGAAAATTATGTTCTTTTCTTCCCTGACCTAACTTTCCTTCCTTTCCAGTCTCCCTGCCTTTCTTCTTTAACATACTTTTGGAAAAGGAGAGAATTGATTTTTAGAAAAGACTGCTGCTGATTATTTTAATTGCCTAAACAGTAATGACAAACAGGAGTCAATAAGTACTATTCCACTTATCAAGATTTATGTAAACATAATCAGCACAGTTTCATCTCTGTTTTAATATGAGTAGATGTCTGCTTTCTTGACTAATGAAAGTAGACAAATGAGTCTTGATTCTCTGAAACAGAATGAATATGGACATGCATGTCAGTAAAATCCAATAACTTCCCTCATTTAGAAGCCAATGAAATGTTTCTTAAGTGACTACTGTTCCAAGTTTTTATACAGATTTAAAACCTGTCCTTTGGACCCAGCTTTTAGCAATTTCATACTAAATATTGACCAATGAATTGATTCTAGAATAGTCCATTGAAGATGTAGTAGAGAGCTCTAAAATAATTGCAGTGGAAAATCATGTCACATTCTAGAATTAAAAAGTTATCTCTAGTCACTTTAAAATGGTCCTTTCCTTTAGAATAATTGGTACAGATATTTTTACTTCCATCTGCAATGCCTAGATTATTTCCAAGTAAACATTTTCTTTTTCTTTTCCTTTCACTTATCATGTTTGATTTTTAATCACCATCAACCTTACACCTCCACAACTCTTAACAGATCATAGTCCCTTTCTCAGCAGTACAGAACAGGGAGATGAGACAACCAGGAGGGCAGTGGAGGGCAGAGAGTGGGAGAACTCCCTGTAGAGCCACTGTTGAAACACTTTGCAGTATCTGCTGTAGCAAAATCAGCAATCCAAAAATATTGCCCCTTATTGTTATTTCATTGTATAATAAAGCGATCTGCTTTTCGCTACCAATTATCAGTGATATGTAGGCGATACTTCTATTTTCTATTTCACATTAGGAGTGCTGCTCTTAAATGCTAGTAAATATTTTACAGGATGAGTATCTTACTCAAAGTTCGTGGGACCGGAAGTGTTTGGGATTTCAGATTTTTTTTTAGATTTTGGAATATTTGCATATACATAATGAGATATCTTGGGGATGGGACTTAAGTCTAAGCACAAAGTTCATTTATGTTTCATGTGCACATAGCCTGAAGGTAATTTTATACAATGTCTTAAAACAATTTTGTGCATGAAACAAAGTTTGTGTACATTGAACCCTGAGTAAGCAAGGGTGTCTATCTCAGCCACCCATGTGGATAATCTGGGATTGTTTGGCATCACCATCATTCCTGACTCAGAATTCATATGCTACCGATAAGCAGTCACCTCAGCCTCCCAAGTATCTGGGACTACAGGCAAGCGCCACCATGCCCGGCTAATTTTTGTATTTGTATATATGGGGTTTTGCCATGTTGCCCAGGATGGTCTCAAACTCCTGGACTCAAGCAATCCGCCCACCTTAGCCTCCCAAAATGCTGGGATTACAAGTATGAACCACATGCGCCCAGCCAAATGGAAACATTTTGAATCCTGCTTCCAGTACATAAAACAGGTTGTTTTATTCATTGGTTGCTCTGAACTACATGTCAGCAGGATACCATTACTATGTGAATGAAATGTATTCAACTCTTGAACATTTTTCTCCCCAGGGGTATGGGTATTATGTTCACACATAAGTCACATTTTTAACCCTTTTAGGAGGAGCCAAATGTCAACTCCAACTCTTGAAGAAGAGCCTGCTAGCAATCCTGCTACTTGGGATTTTGTGGATCCAACCCAAAGAGTCAGCTGTTCTTGTTCCAGGTAGGTAATAAAAAAGGCAAAATAGTAATGGATCGAATGATGGCGCATCTTGTTGATTCATCTCCTGGCCTCACAGATCAGTTCTTCCTGATTCTCCATTCTCCTCCAGTAGAGAAGAAAAAGATTAGTTTTTTTCTTATATGCAGATGATACAGTTTTATTGTCAGGACTCAGAGTTTGTTAGACAATCGGCCCTGTTAACATATTGCTCCCACAACTTTTTTCTGGTTAGCAGCTTCAAAACTAAAGGCATCAGTTTGACAAGACAGTTCTTAGCCCTTTAAATGACTTTATTTAACTACTCTTAATTTTAAAGTAGAGATACATTAAAAACAGATGGGCTTGAGTCAATAGAATTTGGATTAAAGAGACTTTCTGTAGATAATTTGTTTTGTTGCTAGCAGTGGTGTTTTTTGATCGAGACAGGTATTTGGTCACAACTGCTAAAAGCTAAAACTGTTGCAGTAATGATACCTTGCTTATTCATTTAGTTCTTTGGATACGTCCTCAGATTGCTTTTTTTGTAGAAAATTTTTGCATTCTTCATGGATATTCCATTGACTTACCACTCTTTGTTGTAGTAAAGAATCTTACCATCATAGGTTTTCATTAGGGTTCTTAAATTCTTTAACTGGGCATAAGTCTTAACCCCCAGCTCATTTGACAGTTAGAAGAAGTGGTGATGATTTTTCACCACGACTGGGCTATTTTGAGTAGCCCTGCTTCTGAAATATACACTTTCAAATTTGATACTGTTCAATGTTGATAAAAAGTTCAGGTGAGATAAGCATATTTAGAAGATGGCCATTCATGTCTCTGGTGAGATCAGGGTTTCTTAATGTAGCATGAGTGACTTGGCTTCAGGCTGAGGAGGTAGTCCATACGCCCCCTGCATATATGCAGACTGCTGCGTGTGTACACTTAGGGAACAGCTTTGACACGTTTTCCTCTTCTCCCCTGCCCCTTGAATTGATTCTTTATCGAGCTCTGCCTTGGTAGCCTCTTGTTGAGAGATGTAAGGATAAGCCTAATGAAACTCATTATTGATTTTTCAGGGAGGATGTTTTTGAAGAAGTTGCTTGCTCATTAAGGGTTCCCTCTCTGAGCATGTGAGAGCCTCTCTCTGGTGTTAGTAGGTGAATACCTACTTTACTCTTGTCTCTAGGCTCTTGTGAATTGTGTGACAAAAAGTATTTTCCCAGTAACTTTGACTTATGGACAGCTCACAGCCAAGTTAAGGCCCGCCTTTAGCACATACATAGGATATAAACTGTAGTGTATTTAACTTTTCTTTCATCTTATTTTCCCTGCTCTTTCCTTAGCCCAGATTTTTTCACTTAAAAAGATAACGTATTTACTGACTTTTACACATTTTTATTAGCTACCTGGAATTATTTTTGTAACACGTTAAGTGTAAATAAACAAATAATGCTTTGCTTTTTGTTTTCTGGAATTATTGTTGTATTTCTTTGCCAAATGCATATATCTTCAGGTCTTTTTTTTATAACCATATGCATACCAAGGCACCATTCCATTGACTTTCCAACTTCTGTCCCAACCTGACTTTCACATAGTCTTGTATTTTGGGGGATGCCTTTAAGAAAAATCCTTAGGCTGGGTGCAGTGGCTCACGCCTGTAATCCTAGCACTTTGGGAGGCCAAGGCAGGCAGATCACGAGGTCAAGAGTTCGAGACCAGCCTGACCAACATGGTGAAACCCCATTTCTACTTAAAAAAAAAACAAAAACACAAATTAGCCAGCCATGGTGGTGCGTGTCTGTAATCCCAGCTGCTCAGGAGGCTGAGGCAGGAGAATTGCTTGAACCCGGGAGGCGGAGGTTGCAGTGAGCCGAGATCGCACCACTGTACTCCAGCCTAGACAGAGCGAGACTCCATCTCAAAAAAAAAAAAAAAGAAAAATCCTTAATTTTTGCCATGTATGCTTCCCTGCAAACCTGGAACCCTATTGTGGTCATTTTTATCACAATTTTCTCTTCCCAGCCTACAGACTTGTTAGATGTAATCTGTCACTGGATTTCACACTGACTTCCTTTGAAATGCCTATTGTAATCCTTCTCCTTTCCTTGTTCTTTTAGTCATGATCTATTTCTACATGCTTGGGCCCTGCCTCAGGTTTCTTCCTACCACCAGTCACCCATATAGTGTGCCGACTTCGTCTGATTTTCCCACTGCCTGCATCAGGTTCTTTTCCTGCTGAGACGCACTGTGATTCTCTCCTACCTACTGTGCATTCCTCATTCTAACCTTTTTGCAATGTAGCTGAATCATTAAATACAGTTGAAAAAACTTACTTTATGATTAGATTATCCACTTTGCAAAAAATCTTTACTTTGAAGAGGGTATCATAAAGTGTCTCTCAAAGAACTAGTGCGGGTAAATGCTCTCTGAGAAAAAAAGTCTAAAAGACTTTTAAATTTTAGGTTTTAAAGTAAGTACCTTCATAAGTTATTGAGATACTTTCTGATGAGACGTTCACATGTTACTGTGGTACCATGCTCATTGAGCTTAAAGACAAGAAGTTCAGGAGTGTTTGTTTTTATTTTTTTAGAGTAGCAAAGACTTTGGCAAGAGTATTTGCAGATTATCTGCTGCAGGATTACCAAACCCATTATGGTACAGACCACTCCTTCCACTCTTTAATGGCCTTATGGAGCAGGGCAGCCATCCTGCTGTCCCACTAAACCATCCCATTATGCCCCACAAATCCGTTTTACTGCTCACTAGGGCATCATTTAGGGCAATGCAGCAGTAATTTAATGCCACCCTAGTGGCCTCAGAGAGTTACTACTACACCGGCAGGAGACCTCATATTTTTCCCCGGGAATGATTTATATATTGGGAGGTACTGGCTGACATGCAGTATAACTTTGTTGTACAGATTAAACCTTGGCATCATGTAGTGGGCTCTTACTGAGCCATTTTTCACACCCATGCTTGCCAAGAAGTGTGTTAAGATGTGAGCCGACTTGGTTTTTCTGCTTAGATGGTTCAGGTGCATTTGTGTATGTGTGGTGTTAACTTCTGTCATTTTAACGTGTGTCTGTAAGATCCAAAGTTGTCTTTTATCCCTTCTTGCCTAGATATAGTGGCACATAAAGTTTCTAGTATATTTATCCTATTAAATGTTCTTAGGATTGAAACTTACTGTTTTAGTTCCACACTTTGAGGCAGAGTAGTTGCGTAGTTATTTTATTCCCAATTTACAGCACTACAAGCCATTATAAGCCATTCTATATTACAGTTAGTAGAGTGTTATAAAATAGAAATTGGAAGCTTTGTTGTTTCTTGGCAGAGAATCTCATGACTCTACTCTCATGGTTTTAAGATGCAGTATGAATAGGTTATCTGAGGCCCTCACCAAATCTAAAAGATTTGGGTTTTTTTGAATCAGTGATTTGTAGGGATTAGCAATGTACCTTACATCTTTTGCTGTGCCCATTTCTTATCTGCTTAACTTGTATGTGATTGATTCTTCATTTTTCATTGGGGTGTATTGTGTTTTTTAGTTATATAAGTATAATTAAAAACTTAGAGCCCTTTTATATGTATTAGTACATCTAATGTATGCTTTAAAAGGCAAAATTTTGTCAGAGAATCTCTTTTCTTAATGTTATAATGATGTAATTGTTTACTCTCATTTTAGGCATAAGCTTTTAAAACGTTGTGCAGTCGGGCCCAATCGACCTCCCACAGTATCTCAACCAGGGTTCAGTGCAGGACCATCATCATCTTCATCTTTACCACCTCCTGCTTCTTCTAAGCACAAAACAGCAGAAAGACAGGAAAAAGGAGACAAGCTGCAAAAGAGACCCTTAATACCATTTCACCATAGGCCCTCTGTGGCCGAAGAATTATGCATGGAGCAAGATACACCAGGACAGAAACTAGGGTTGGCAGGGATAGACTCCTCCTTAGAGGTGTCTAGCAGTAGGAAATATGATAAGCAAATGGCCGTGCCTTCCAGAAATACAAGCAAGCAAATGAATCTGAATCCTATGGATTCACCTCATTCCCCTATATCCCCTCTGCCACCAACACTCAGCCCTCAGCCACGAGGTCAGGAAACAGAGAGTTTGGACCCACCATCGGTCCCTGTGAATCCAGCCCTTTATGGAAATGGACTAGAACTCCAGCAGTTGTCTACTCTGGATGACAGAACTGTCCTCGTAGGCCAAAGACTGCCTCTCATGGCAGAGGTCAGCGAGACAGCCTTATATTGTGGGATTAGGCCCTCGAACCCGGAGTCATCAGAAAAGTGGTGGCATAGTTATCGTCTCCCACCCAGTGATGATGCTGAGTTCAGGCCTCCAGAGCTCCAGGGTGAGAGATGTGATGCCAAAATGGAGGTAAACTCAGAGAGCACTGCATTGCAAAGGTAAGACAGCTCTCTGCACCACCCACCCGTCCACCGGAAGGGCATGGGCTCCCTCCCCATCTCTACCTGCTAAACTTTCAGATTCAAAATTGAAGTAGGCTTTTCTTTGTCCTTCTTGACTCCGGATATGGAAAATGTTTAATGGTCAAATGCTTTGTCCTACTTATAGGTTAGCACACATGTCATTTGACACATGGGCATATAAAGAACTCTTTATGCCATTTAAGTACACTCCAAATATATTAATACATTTTTGCCCTACTGTTTGTTAATTAAAGAATATAGCTTTATAAGACTTTCCATACTGCTGTCAGTGCCTTCTTTGTATGTTGACATTTTTGAGGAAGGCTTTGCCTGCATTCAGGTGTATGTATCATGTATCTAGTATAATATTTATAGCTCTTTTGAGCCACCCATTCTAAAACTTTACATAGATGATCTCATTTAATCTTCACTGTACCATATTATTACGTTAATTTTATAACTGAGAAACTAGGGCCATGCAGTTAGTAAATGACACAGATGGAATTTGAAACTAGGCAGTCTGTCCTGAGAACCTGTGCTCTTAAGTGGAATTGATGGACCCAGAGACAAAAACATATATTCTTGACAAAGTATGCTAATTTTTATTTAATCATGAATATAAACTGTAAAAGCAAATCACTATATCGGTGAATTTTTAGTTGTTTTTACAAAAAGTTTAAACTTTGTAAATGCTTTAAGGCATAAATGCTCTTTTTTTTTTTTTTTTTTTTGTCTTTTAGACTCTTAGCACAACCTAACAAACGGTTTAAAATCTGGCAAGACAAACAGCCCCAGTTGCAGCCACTCCACTTCCTTGACCCATTGCCTCTATCACAACAACCTGGAGACAGTTTGGGAGAAGTGAATGACCCATATACCTTTGAAGATGGTGACATAAAATACATCTTTACAGCCAACAAGAAATGCAAACAAGGGACGGAGAAAGATTCCCTGAAAAAGAATAAGGTACCATTTAACAGAGAGAGAGTCCAGCATGGTGTGGGTTTCTATCTATGTCAGTACAACATGTGTGGGAAGACTTTGGAGGCAGAACGTTTGAGATAGTCTTGCCTGATTGCTCTGTCCCCATATTCATGCTCTTGGTACTATTGTATTGAACAGCGTATTGTTCCTTTTTATGTCATGGCTCACCTTTGTTTAAAAGTCAGCCGAACATAAATGAAGCCTCATATTTTCCAGGCTATAGCTTGTACAGTGCATGTTTTCTCTCATATGCTAATTCTTGTTGGCCTATGCTCCCTATTTCTTTTAAAATATTATTCCGAACTACCCAAAATGTAAAGGAAAAAATGTTTGTAACAGTAGGTATACACAATTTATCGAGCGCTTCTTATCCTTACTGTGCTGAGCGCTGTACCTATATATTCTCTGGGTTAATATCAACTCTACCCATAGACTATCAGTATTAATTTTACTGGTTTCATCATCATAAAAATGAGTACTGGTTGTGTCTGCTGTCTTTAATTTCAAATTTTCAGACATTCTAAAATATGGGCCATTGAAATAGGTATTCTTGAGAATCAAGGAAATAAAACAATTATAAGAGGCCGGTATAGTTAGGGGAATGCTTTTTAGATTGTTTTATACAGATCTCCCTAGACCCAGAAAGCCAAATCTATAATTTAGCATCTAAAATGTTGTTAAAGGCAGCTTTTAACACCATGGCAGGTCTGTAATCAAATGCCACCAGTACTGCTTAGGCATAAAACACTGATTCACTCAGAATACCCCATAGGATTGAGGGGAAAGTGGGGAGCTCATGGTTCTGTTGAAATTCCAGAGAAAGGACCTATCTTTTACTTCCTTTGGTTGCATAGACCATGGTTTATCATACTTGTGCTCATAACAAGTTCCATTCTACCCTCTAATTCTTTGTGTTCTCCCTCATATTTCACACTTTGGGTTGGTGTTCATGTGTTTTGTTTGGCTGAATTTATTATACAGTCAGAGGATGGATTTGGTACCAAGGATGTCACTACACCAGGTCATTCCACGCCGGTGCCTGATGGGAAAAATGCCATGTCTATTTTCAGTTCTGCTACTAAAACAGGTGTGTACAATGATTATTTGCCTCACTTGGATTGTTGCTAAAATGAAATGCAAAGGAGATGCTTCTCAATGTAAAATTTTATTCTTATTGTAATAAGAATTTCATCTCATCTTTAATATATTTTTCATAGTTTGTTTTTCAGTTCCTTTCAAAACTGATAAACATATTTGGAAATAATTGTCTCTAAATTTAACTAAAACCATAGGGAAAAACTCACAGGCAGGTCATGTTCATTGAGATCCGTGTCCTCTCCCTACTCCTTTGCGCTTGGTGGAGTTGTTTATTCTGTGTCTTTTGCCTCCTTTCCTACAGATGTCCGGCAGGATAATGCTGCTGGCAGAGCTGGCTCCAGTAGCCTTACACAGGTAACAGATTTGGCACCTTCCCTGCATGACTTAGACAACATCTTTGATAATTCTGATGACGACGAACTTGGGGTGAGTTTGCCGTAGCTACATAAACAAAAATTTCGCTACATGAAAGGACTTTATATCAGTGTTGTAGTATTTCTTTATAGTTTGGTGTCCTGAATTTGGGGGCTCTTATTTCAGGTTCTGAATGTTCTTTATAAATGTCTGTATACTGGAATCTAGTCATGCTGTATAAAAAAAGTTTGTATACTTGGAAAAGATTGTAAAGGTTATTAGTGTAGTGTATCCACCTCGAGTTTTGTTCATTGAAGGATCTTTTTCATTAGTGTATTCCAGTTGTACATATTAAAATCTCTCACATTTATTGTAATAAATTCTTCTAAATATCACAGGACTACTAGAAATGTATTACATTGTCCCTTAGGTTTGATTTTTAAAGTAATGCCCACATAACTTTTTATTCATCTAATAAGTCAGAGGTTAGGTATGCAAATATGATTTATACTTTTTAAGATCATGGCATCATTGTAGGGGAATAGAATTTATATACATAGAAGTTAAATACTACAAGGCAGCATACAATTAAAATGACAGAGAAGAATAATTATTATAATTCTTTGGAGATCAGCAGAACTAAGAGTCAGGAAATGTGTGTCCTCATCCTCCTAACCAACTCTGTACCTTTGGGCAAATACAAGTGCCTGTTTTTTCTGGGAGATCTAGAGATGAGTAAGATAGGCTCTGTTTTCAAAAAGGTCAGCTTATTAGTTTACTTTTCTTTCATTCATTCACTTATCTACCTCCCTATTCATCTGTTTTACATACATTTGTTAATTGTTTGAAGGTTAATTCCTTTGTGGTGGTACTAAGGCTAGTCATTGAGGTTAGAAATATGATTAAATTACCACCCTTATACTTGAGACACTCACAGACATAAGGAGAAATGGCACATAAAGTTATAATGTACTTATTGCTGTGAGTACAATAATAGACCTGAATCTAAAGTTGCTGGACATTCAGATACGACGTGACCAAGTGATGGGGAGCAGTGTTTAAGTTAAGGCTTGAAAGTTAAGTAGGAAACATTTCTAAAGCCCAAACTTTAAAATAAAATGTATCTAACAGATATTATATACCATTACTGTTATAAGTACTTAGAAGATGAGGAGATCATAATGGTCTGGAAGAATGGATTGTACTTGAAATATGGAAAGAAGGGGTCATTGAGAGGAAGGGGGAGGGACATTAGTTTAAGTGTGGAATGAGCCTTGATTAAACAACAAAAACGAACTAGATTAGCTTTCAGGGATAAGGAACAGACCATTGGTCTGTTTTTTTGGATGATTAGAGACTGATAGGTCTAGGAAAGTTTTGGATTTTAAACTGTACTAATATGTGTTCCTCTGAGGGCTGCTGAGTATAGAACTGAACTGGCAGAAGGGCTATTTTTTTTTCCAGTCTGATATGCCGAAAGCAGGAATCCTCTAATCTGGTAACTTTTGTTGGATTGGAACACTAGAATCTGAATTTATACAGTGGCCACATGAAGGAAAAGGACATGAAAATGTGAAAAACTCTGGTAGAAGAAATGACTCATTTCTTCATTGCTGATCCAGGCATTGAATTTGACTATCCACTGGAGGCCAAGTGCTGCCTGGGTTTGGTTTTAAAGATACAGAGGGTTAGGATAGGTGCTTTGGCAATGGTGATGGGAATCCAATATGAAAAGAAAAGGAGGTACAAGTCAAAGGAGGAGAAAGAAAGGAACAGAGCAAGCATTTTGGAGTGGCCTGCCTGATCTGTTCATGACCACCATCCTGGTAATTGTTTCTGCTCTGGGCCACTGAACTTATTCTTTGTATAAATTATGAATTACTATTAAGCTTAATGAAGAAATGTTTAACTGTTGGGAATATACTTTTAGTAATATTAACATGAAAAGGAGAATTGGACATTTTCAATCAAATTTTCATTTCTCTGAGTGTTTTTGCTTTACTCTGATTTTTAGTCTGGCATTTAATCACATGAGCGGTTTACCTTAGAATATATTGCTAATTCATCTTACTACTCGTAAATGGAGTTGGGAGGCTGTTGGCTGAGTTGTCATCTCATGTGTCTTTGAATTTAATTTTAATTTTACATTTCAATGTTGTGACATTGTATAAGTATAAATAAATAAAAGGCCTTCTATTTGTAAAAATCATTTTTTGCTTTATTTTATATTTTATTTTAATTCATCACCAGTTCATTTAATGTTAAAGATAATCTTGCCCAGTAATGCACTTGGTTTGTTTTTGAATAACAGATCAGAGAAAAACCTTCTGAATATTTCAATAATTTTACACAATAAGGTTATTTTTGGTGAAGATAAATAGTAACTATAAAAATAGGTACAGAAGATACATAGTTTGTTGTGATAAATGCAAAAAAAAAAAAAGAATTGGAGGGCTTGAGATTATGCCTTTTAGCTGCTTGCTTCCAAGTATAAGGGAAACCAGACCAATTGTCAGTTACTACTGGAGGCACCACCCTAATGTAACACTGTGTCCCTGAAAATTGACTTGGGAGGGAAGAATTGCTTAAGGTCTGCAAGCTCTCCTTTGATGGCGCAATCTGCCCTCACAAGATCCATGAAAAAAATTCACTGTTTCTTACACTTGATAAGCTTGTAACCATCTCCTTTGTTTCACTATCTGTTGGTATTTCTAGAGGTTCACCTGGTAAACGCTTCTACCAAGAGGCATCTACCAATAGGCATACATTAGGAAATATTTGAATGCTGCCCTACTTATATACACGTCACTCTGTTTTAATAACACCGTCTGTTCTTAGGCTGTATCACCTGCTCTGCGCTCATCAAAAATGCCTGCAGTTGGGACAGAAGACCGACCTCTTGGGAAGGATGGAAGAGCTGCTGTTCCTTATCCACCAAGTAGGTAGAGAAACTTGACTGAGCCATTGTGGCTCACTGCCTGTAACTTAGATATAATATTCTCATACTTAGTGGTGCTTTATCTTTATCTGAAATTTCCCTTCCTTTTGACAGAATTCTAACTGTGAATTAAAACCTATATAAATTGGTGTTCTGAGATGGCAGGCAGCTAATCATATACAGAAACCATCTTAATTTGAATTCCTTTCCTTTGTTTTCCAGTTAAGAATTAGCTTTTTATAGCTTAAAATGTAGAAAAACATGTTTTAGGTTTGTTTTTCTAATAGTCCTTTCCTAGTAGAATAAATGCTGCACAAGTGATTTTTCAAACTGATACTCTATTATAAGACTGTGTAAAATGTTTCTGTTTTTATAAATATAATTCACTCAAGGATATTGGATATTTGATTTCAGTGGTCCTTTTCAAGATGCATACTAAAGTTTTTGTGTTTCCTTTTGAGATCAACTAGTTTTACCATATATGCTGACAAAGAGATGAACCTCTTTTTTTTGAGTATATTCTTTGCCCTAAGAAACCAAATTATTCTACAAGAGGAAAAAAAAGGGTAGCTTATGTGGATACTCTGAAGCAGAAACATAATTCCATTGCAAATCATTCTTTAACACCTTCTCATTAACTTCAGCTGGTAATGAGAACAAATTGAGGGGAAAAACCACCATGTCATAGGGATGAGTCAAAAAGCTTTATGAACCTATAAATGTAGTGCTGATTTACTCAAATCTAGAAGTTGGGAAGTATACAGAGATTGGATTTTGACAGCTTTAGTGGATCCATAGCTTTTTAAAATATGCAAAGCTTTCTCAAGCATGACATGGGTGAAAATGAATAATGATAGCCAGCCCGTTGCTGTAGTTTTTTTAGTTAAACATTTTTCTTGTTTTATTACTCTGCACTGCAGAATTTCACAAACATGGAACTTCACAGATTAAAAGAAACAGTATTAAAATAGATATGTGCAGGTCAGATGAGTGAGTTTTTCCTCTTTTTTGAATCCATTGATCCTTTACCCTTTTTGACATGACGTGATGCGTAGTGATGTGAAATGTTAGAATGTCTGATAACTCAGCCAAGGCTTTTCACTCGCAGACATCCTGCTAGTTAGCAGCATTGCCAAGTGAAGTATATTGTGTGCTCTATCCTTTCTCTCATTTCTATCCAAAAAAGAATTATTTCAAAAAGAAGCTACTCAAAATTCAAAATTTTATGATAAAGTGCACGTTATAAAAACGAATCAATATGAAATGTAGCACAGAATATTAACACCAGGAAAACCCAGATATGCAAGAATACAGAGGATCATTTTAATGTGTACAAAGCATATATATAAATATGTGTTCGTGAGAGCATATGTATTTGTGGGATGGGGTGGGGGAGTGAGGGGAACACACAGTATTTCCTCCCAAGAAATGACAATGAAAATAGCCTGGCAAGATATTTTAATCTCAGCAATAGATTTTTGGGCATTGCAGTGGGAAGACAAATGTATTATAAAAGTTAATGTCTAGCCTGTAATCCCAGCACTTTGGGAGCCCAAGGTGAGCAGATTACTTGAGGTCAGGAGTTGGAGACCAACCTGGCCAACGTGGTGAAACCCCATCTCTACTTAAAATACAAAACTTGGCACCACATGGTGGTGTGCACCTCTAATCCCAGCTACTCGGGAGGCTGAGGCAGGAGAATCACTTGAACCCAGGAGGCGGAGGTTGCAGTGAGCCGAGATAGCACCACTGCACTCCAGCCTCGGCGACAGAGCAAGACTCCATCTCAAAAAACAGAAACAAAACAAAATTAATGTCTAAACAACACTGTCCAGTAGAAACACAAGGGAAGCCACAAATGAGAGCCACATGTGCAATTTCACATTTTCTAGTGGCTATTTAAAAAAAGAAATTAATTTTAATAATATACAGTATTTTATTTAAGTATCCAAAATATTATTTTTACATGTAATTAGTATAAAATTATTGCAGTATTTCACTTTTTTTATAAAAATGTAATATATAATGGTTGTACATATTTTACTTTTTTTTTTGGTATGAAGTTTTGGGAATACAGTGTATGTTTTACATATGCAACCCATCTCTATTTGGTCAAGCCCCATTTTGGGTGCTCAGTAGCCACGTGTGGCCAGTGGATATTGTGTTGGAAAGCATAGGTTCCTCATTATTCATTTGTGAATGTAATGCTGAAGACAGCAACAAACAGTGACAAATAGGTTTACTTTAATATCAAGTTTATGTTAAGGTAGTATTGTGTTATAGTAAAAACATGTTTTTATTAGGTTTTATTATTAACCACTTTCTTACAAATTTTCGCATTTGAAAGCACATCAGTTTAAAGTATGAGTCTTTGAATAGACAAAAGGAAAGAGTTGGATTTTGGGGTTGGTTCATTTGTTTATTTTCCAAGAGTCCTTACGGTTTGGAAGGGACTTGGGCATGTGCTCTGGGGTGAGGAGAACACTAAGAAATCAACAATGCTGCTTTGTTGGAGGTCTTCCATCCTGTGCATGAATACATAAAGTGCTGGGCAGGAGCAGGTGGGTGTCTTATGAGTTCCCGCTGAAGTGCAGAGATAGGCAGGATGGGAGTAAGCAGAGCGCTGTGGGCAGCACAGCTCACCTCCAGTCCGTCCTGGTGGCTGTTTCCACCCTTGCTTTAGCCGTTTTCTGGGAAGAAAATTGAAGAGACAAATCATGTTTCTATTTTGGAGGACCAAAGTGTTTCTTGGAGTCTGTGTGTTCTTTCTGCTTTACCCACTTTGAGTCCGATTCCCTTTGGTCATCTCAAAATTTCTTTAGGGTCATATATTTTCAGAAAGTCCCAAAACTTGACAGTGGTTCCATCTTTTTCCAATCCAGGTTTGGGAGGGAGAATTAATTTGTACTGAGTTCATCATTTGCTGAATGTTTAGATGTTTGCAGCAAAGTGTTCACTTCTGAGCATACATTATCTCAATATGCACAAAAAATATGAAGTAGATATTTTTCCCATTTTACGGATTAGGAAATTGAAGTGAGACAGACTGAGTCTTCCTTAAGAATATCTGATAGTAACAATGATAAAGACCACTTTATAAAGTGACTCTCTTGGAGGTAGAATTTCATCCCTGCTTTTTTGTGTGTTCTCTGTTTACCTTTGCTAAAATTAACAGGGTGGCTGAGGCTTTGAAAACTGAGATATATGCGTGCGTTCAGGAAGATCAAAGAAGTCAGCTAACACTAAGTGGGTGGAAATGCCTTTATTATGTTTCTTACAGGAAATGTAAAAACAAATTTAATAGAACTATTTTTTTTTTTTTGCAAAATCTTGTGTCATAGGATACTTATAAGAAAGGCTATGTTTAAGCTCATCCTTTTAACTTAAAGAGAATTTATACAATTTCTGTACTTCACAAAGAGCTACACTGGCTATTAAGATTTATGGCAATGTGACTTTGAAGATTTTATGAAGCAGAATTATGTTTTAAAATATAACTCAAATTATATTACAGTTTTGTAGTAGCTGTTCTTCGGCTTGAGAGGAGGAATAGGGACTAAAGGTTAAAGGTGATGGATTTATTTCAAGCGTAGATGAACTTTTTTTTTTTTTGAGACAGAGTCTTTCTCTTTCACCGAGGCTGGATTGCAGTGGCGAGATCTCGGCTCACTGCAATCTCTGCCACCTCAGTTGAAGAGATTCTTGTGCCTCAGCCTCCTGCCAGCATGCCTGGCTAATTTTTGTATTTATTTAATAGAGACAGGATTTCGCCATATTGCCCAGATTGGTCTCGAACTCCTGACCTCAAATGATCTGCCTGCCTTGGCCTCCTAAAGTACTGGGATTATAGGTGTGAGCTATCCCACCCGGCCTCCAGTGTAGACTAACTTTATATTAAAGATCTTGGCTTTGTTTTAAAGAAAACTTACTGATCTGGTTCCTGCTACATTTTAAGTCCTGTTTTTCCACCTCAGAGTGTATCGGTTATGTAGCCTCTCAAATAGTTTTCTGCCAGTTTCTTGTTTGGCTTGGCTCATGTTTCTACTTCTATAAATTTTTAAGGTGCCTTGAAGATCAACTTGGGATTTTTAGTTTTTTCTTCTTCTTTTTTTTAGAAGCAGCAGGTACTTTTTTGTATAATGAAATCAGATACAGATTCCTATTATAGAAAATAAGTAGCAGTGGAGCATCGCTAATGGAAATGAATGTTGGAATTAACAACCCTGCTGATTGGCCTCTCCCTCTCCTTATTTTACAAATAACTCCACAGGCCAAGAGAGGCTAAATGATTTAGGATTATACAGTTGTTTCACTTAGAAACACGGTAAAGATTATGTAATTCAGAAGTTCTCACCTTTTCTTCTGCCTCCATATGCTGAGGTGTTTGAAAGCTTTCCTCTCCCCTCACAAACAAAGCAAAGCAAGTAGGCCCATTGAGAGTCATCCATCTAGCCCTGCCTTCCCTGTTAGATGAAGGAACCAAGGCCCCAAGGGGGGAAGTGACCTGACCACAGCAGATCTAAGTCCCCAGCACCTGGACTGGGTAGCCGTGAGCACAGCACGGTACAGTTGCCCAGTGTTAATTTCTGATTCGGAGCTAGGAGTCAGATCTTAGTGATTCAGTGGTTATTATTGGTCTGTTTAAATCTTGAAGTTGTTGGAAAGAGCAATAGGATAGGAAACTGGGACATTAAATCACTGATTTAAAAACCTGTGGCTCCAAACTTAAAAAATTTGCTGCATAGGCCACCCCCTAGTGGCCAAATTTTACAACTACAACTTTTCAATAGGTCTACTTTTTAAGAATCAGTGCCTTAATGAACTACTGTAGTGATAATTTTTTACTACAGGTGTATTAAAGGAAACTTTTTTTTTAAAGAAGGAGTTCAGAACCGCTGTTCTAAGTATTTCTTAAAAGAAACTTTGAAGTTTCATTTTAATATCTGTCTGGAAAAAATATGGAACTGTTTCCCCAAAAGAGCAGCTGTGAGTTTCCCCAAAAGAGCAGCTGTAAGTGTAGTGGATTTGTCAAACTAGCTGAGTAATCAGCTCCAAACAATTTTTATTTTTTGTAATATTTTATACATACTTGAAAGCAGGGATAGAACTTTAGTAGTGGTAACTATCTAATTGCTTCCACTTTCTGTTTAATTCCTCTCCTTAGACTTTTCAGGGAATCAGTTGTTGGAAGAAACATACAAGTTATGTAGACTTTGTTTACTTAATTAATGTGAAGCCAGACCATAAAGCATCAAGAAGTTAGTGATAAAGACCAAGAAAAGTCCAGGCACAGTGGCTCACACCTGCCATCCCAGCGCTTGGGGAGTACGAGGCAGGCGGGCCACTTGAGCCCAGGAGTTCGAGACCAGCCTGGGCAACATGGTGAAACCCTGTTTCTACCAAAAATACAAAAATTAGCTGGGCATGGTGGCACGTGCCTATAGTCCCAGCTACTTGGGAGGCTGAGGCACAAGAATTGCTTGAACGAGGAAGGCAGAGGTTACAGTGAGTCAAGATCAGGCCACTGCACTCCAGCCTGGGTGATACAGTGATACTTTGTCTCACGAAACAAAACAAAACAAGACCCAGAAAAAGATAATTCTCTGCTGATGGCCTTCTTCTTAGTCACTTCCATTATTAATATTCTTTTGTGAACTGATGTGATCATTTAATTAGCACTATTTTTGGTGCCAAAGAGTGCGCCTGGCTATAAGCTAGGACTTTTTAGAAGCCCTTCCTATTAAACAAATTTTTTTTATTTCTTATTTTTAGCAGTTGCAGACTTGCAAAGGATGTTTCCCACTCCACCATCTTTGGAACAGCATCCTGCATTTTCTCCTGTGATGAATTATAAAGATGGGATCAGCTCAGAGACAGTGACAGCATTAGGCATGATGGAGAGCCCTATGGTCAGTATGGTTTCAACACAACTCACAGAATTCAAAATGGAAGTGGAAGATGGATTAGGAAGTCCCAAGCCCGAGGAAATTAAGGTAGTTGTCAATATATTAACATTTCCAGGGCAGAGCAGTTTCCAAGTGGATTCACATACATCTGCTTTAAAATGGTATTGTCTGTGTGCCATATATACATAAGTTCCTAAGAATCCTTTTAATTAGAACATGAGGCACACCAGCAGGCATATTAAATAGTGTCTTTTGATTGATTTAACATTTCTGCATTAGCATTTTCTAATGATCATAGGAGAGAAATACTGAAATACGATCATTTTGGTTGCTGTTTTTATGATAGCACTATGCCACTGTGGTGTGTTCTACAGAGTTTACCAATATTAACACTGACCCCACTTTGTTGTCACAGGACTTTTCATATGTGCACAAAGTTCCATCCTTTCAACCTTTTGTGGGATCCTCCATGTTTGCTCCACTGAAGATGTTGCCGAGCCATTGTTTGCTACCTCTGAAGATACCTGATGCCTGTCTGTTTCGGCCTTCATGGGCAATTCCTCCTAAAATTGAACAACTGCCCATGCCCCCTGCAGCCACTTTCATTAGAGATGGCTACAAGTATGTATAGGGATTGTGTCATTTACTTGCCATATTTGATGCAATTTTTATCTTAACTAAATGTTTGTTAAAAATGATGACAAGGTCCGGGCGCGGTGGCTCATGCCTGTAATCCCAGCACTTTGGGAGGTGGAGGCGGGCAGATCACTTGAGGTCAGGAGTTTGAGACCAGCCTGGCCAACATGGTGAAACCCCGTCTCTACTAAAAATACAAAAAATTAGCTGGGCTTGGTGGCAGGAGTCTGTAATCCTAGCTACTCGGGAGGCTGAGGCAGGAGAATCGCTTGAACCCGGGAGGTGGAGGTTGCAGTGAGCCAAGATCGCGCCACTGCCCTCCAGCCTGGGCGACAGAGTGAGACTCTGTCTCAGAAAGAAAAAAAAGAAAGAAAAAATGATGACAAGTAGCATATCATTTGAAACTTTCCTTTATTGGT
The DNA here is from genome assembly GCF_000001405.40 of Homo sapiens. Lineage (NCBI taxonomy): Eukaryota > Metazoa > Chordata > Mammalia > Primates > Hominidae > Homo > Homo sapiens. Next base: position 115,996,041 of record NC_000012.12, on the reverse strand, counting down.
CGTTCATGTTTTTGTGCAAATTATTTTGTGCTGGAAAATGTGCATTATTTTCTAAATGAAATTTTGTATGCAGACAGTCCCTGACTTACAGTGGATTTACTCAGGAGTTTTTGACTTTTTGATGATGTAAAAGTAATACACGTTCAGGACATGCTGTACTTTGAGAACCCATACAACCGATCTGTTTTTTACTTTCAGTACAGTATTTGATAAATTACACGAGATAGTCAGCACTTTATTGTAAAACAGGCTTTGAGTTAGATGATTTCCCCAATGGTAGGCCAATGTAAGTGTTCTGAATATGTTGAAGATAGGCTAGGGCCGGGTGCGGTGGCTCAAACCGTAATCCCAACACTTTTGGGAGGCCGAGGTGGATGGATTGCTTGAGCTCAGGAGTTTGAGACCAGCCTGGGCAAATGGCGAAACCCTGTCTCTACAAAAAATACAAAAATTTAGTTGGGCATGATGGTGTGTGTCTGTGACCCAGCTGCTTGGGAGGCTGAGGCAGGAGAATCACTTGAACTCACGAGGCGGAGGTTGCAGTGAGCCAAGATTGCACTACTGCACTCCAGCCTGGTCGACAGAGCAAGACCCTGTCACAAAAACAAACAGATAGGCTAAACAATGATGGAATCAGTTTTCCCTGTGATGAATAATTTCTTAATAAATAAAGTGATTTGATTGATAGAAAAGGCCACAAATTCAGATTTCTGCTGTGGTCAGGTAAGCAATATATAGATGAAATGGACAGGGTAAATGCAAAAGAGTTGGTACTACTGATGCTCAGCACCATTGTGCTGAGCTTAAGGAACCAATAAAACAAATTTGTGGTCCAGCCTCAGCCTCTGGGCTGCAAGTTTGTGACCTTCTGTAAAATCATCCTGATGAAGTTAATTTTAATGTCGTAACAAGACTTCCTGCTTGTGTATATAAAGTCAGTGTCAGAAAGAAAAACGGTGACAGAAAAGTACAGAGGAATCCTAGACTTAGGAAGCTACACTTGCAGTATTAATAAGACTGAAATTCCTGCCTTGCAAAAATTATATGCATGACCTTAAATGACCATTTTACGTGGGTCTTCCCTTTAAAATGGAGTAATCCTGCTCTGCCTCCCGCACAGGACTTCCACAATGCTTCAACGACTAATGACTGTAGAAGTACCGTGGAAATAACAATGCACCAGCAGTATAAAGAGTGTGCTGAAAAGCACCCTGAGCGCCTGGCTGGTGTGCTGCTGCTGTGCTCCGATTGTACTCTAGCTTACTCAGCTAGATCCTGGCACAACACACCTAGAACACCTTGGCGCATAAGGGGTTAGCTTAGCACATACAGTTGCCAATAAATGACATAGCAGTTTTAAGAACCCATTCAGCAGTTTAATCTCTTTCATACATACAGGTTTCCCCAAAAAGGTCACATGCAAGCTTTTGCTGTGTAATCGTTTAAATCATTTAGGTCATTATTTAGATCTATTACATCTTTCATTTGCCATCCCAAAGATTCTTTGTATTCTTAACTGGCTCTATTATACAACTTTATGTGATGAAGGTTTTGTTTTTGTTTTTGTTTTTGTTTTTTGGGGGGGTTTTTTGGAGACAGGGTCTCGCTCTGTCACCTGGGCTGGAGTACAGTGGCACAATCACAGCTCACTGCAGCCTTGACCTCCTGGGCTCAAGTGATCCTCCCACATCAGCCTCCTGAGTAGCTGGGACTACAGGCACGTGCCACCACACCCAGCTAATTTTTATGAAATTTTGTTGTAGAGTTTGTGTCTCCCTGTGTTGCCGACACTGGTCCTGAACTCCTGGGTTCAAGTGTTTCTCCTGCCTCGGCCTCCTAAAGTGTTGGGATTATAGGCATGAGCTACTGCACCTGGCATGTAGGTGATTCCTGTCTGCACTGTCCACTATGGCAGTCATCAGCTTCCTGCTGCAGGTGTTGACCACTTGAAATGTGGCTAGTGAGACCAAGACTGAATTGTTTTATGTTAATTAATTTAAATTTAGGACATGGGGACTGGTGGCTACCTTATTGGACAGTATGTTTCCAGCATATGTGTAATCCTGCTGTGGTCTCTGCTCGCCATCACCCTGGACTCCTCCTTTGTCACATGCAATACCCCTGCAATCATTTGCTTCATGTCTGCCATACTTGCTTATGAGCCACCTTTTGTTTCTCTTTTTCACTTTTGACTATCCAGCTTCTAGCGTAGGGTTGCTACTCAGTTCATTTTTATTAAATGGGAAAAATCAGATTACAAGATAAACCATTCTTACTACCCAGGGAGCAATTTAATTCTTTAGGTTTTCAGTTAGTACTCATAGTTCCTTTTCTGATCTGAACTGCGTAATAATTTTAGGGTTTTGTTGAACAGGAGAATTTGAAAGGAGTCCAGTTAGAGTAAAGATCGTTATTACACACTTAACTATTTTGGTCTCTAAGAGAGCAGTGATTGCCAATCAAGTTTTCTGGGTCATTTTTTTTTTTTTATCTGTACTCAAAGATACCACTGTGCCTCAGATTTAATATTTCTTTACAGTGCCTGATTTGGACTTTTAGGCTGGTAGTTTAGGCATAGCTAATTAAAAATCACAAGGAAATTATTTGAAGAGACATTTCTTTATGACGTGCTTCTTTCACATTATAAGTAACTGAATATGTAGTTTATTGGAGGAGCATTAGTTTAAGTACAGTATTAATATATATAAAAGGATATTAAAAAATTTTAAAAATATTCTTTTGATACCTTCTAAGTAGGAAGAATGGACTCATATGCTAATATACATATACATCTAAGAAAGTACAGTTGTCCCTTGGTATCCTTGGGGGATTGATTCCAGGACCCCCTCGGATACCAAAATCTGAAGATGCTCAAGTACCCTATATAAAATGGCAGAGTATTTCCTTGTAATTTACACAAATCCCTCTGTATACCTTAAGTCATCTCTGGATTACTTGTAATGCCTAATACAATGTAAATGCTATATAAATGTTGTACTTTACTGTTTTGATTTGTGTTTTTTAACTGTTGTTTTTTTTTTAATTGTATTTTTATTTTGATTTTCCATCTGTATATGGCTGAATCCACAGATGTGGAACTTGTGGCTATAGAGGGCCAACTGTATATCAAGAAAATGTTTTATGATAATGAAACAGCAGAACCTTGCAGACAGTGTTTTCTGCCTAGCTGTTCCAAAAAGAAGTCACTGCTTATGAGAAAGTAGATAACATAGCCCAGTCAGTCTTGGGCAACTAAAATAATTACACTATATGCAATGCATACCATATTGAAAAGTGAAAAATGAAGTGCTTACCACCCCACAGAAAGCTGCTGGAAGCTGGAAACTCTGATACAGTATGTGTACTTCTGTGCAACCACCTAATTAATACTGAGGCCTCTTAGCCGCATATGTAATATTTCTATCAGTTGTAGTATAGTACTGGTAAATGGGCTACCTAAAATATAATTCCCTCATGGTCACTCATTACTATAAAAATGTAAGCCTAGATAGGGCTGCATTTTGAAAATTAGAAAAATGTTAAATTTTCATGTGTATTTGATTATAACTACTTTGATATGATATATAGATTATAGCCTCAGAGAACAAGTACACTGGCAGACTTTGAATTTCAAAAAAAAAATGACAAAAATGTAATTGCAAATTAGATGGAAATTTCATCCTATGGTCCTCTAGCTAATTTAGTGTCTGCACTTATGGTTGAAGTTCCATTTAGTAGTTAACTTTTCAAATTACATTGACCAAACCCAGTACCATGTTTTCTTATAAAAATAGTAAAAGTTCCTTCAAGAGGTTAGGATGAGGATGCTTATATGTGGAATAAGTAGAAGGAAAGTGCTGTGTTGAATTATTCTTCATACCTTACTTTCTTCTTCTCTACACACTGCACTGACCTTTGTATCTTCTTTTTTTTTTTTAAGAGAAAATTAAATATACCAGTGTATCCCAGTGATAGCAGAAACAAATGATAAGAAATACACAGTACATGGCTGGGGTGATCATGTGTCTAGTTCAGCATCTGTGACATGCTGCCCTTCCTCACTTGGTGCCTTCTCTTTTTGTAGTAACGTGCCTAGTGTTGGGAGCCTAGCAGATCCAGACTATCTGAACACACCACAGATGAACACACCCGTGACGTTGAACAGCGCTGCCCCAGCCAGCAATAGTGGGGCAGGAGTCCTACCATCTCCAGCAACCCCTCGCTTCTCTGTCCCCACACCACGAACCCCCAGGACCCCAAGAACTCCCAGAGGTGGGGGCACTGCCAGTGGTCAAGGGTCTGTTAAGTATGATAGCACCGATCAAGGATCACCAGCCTCCACCCCCTCTACTACACGGCCCCTCAACTCTGTGGAGCCCGCCACCATGCAGCCAATTCCCGAAGCCCACAGCCTCTATGTTACCCTGATTCTCTCCGATTCCGTGATGAATATCTTTAAAGACAGAAACTTTGACAGCTGTTGCATCTGTGCCTGCAACATGAACATCAAAGGGGCGGATGTCGGGCTTTACATCCCCGATTCTTCCAATGAGGACCAGTACCGCTGTACCTGTGGGTTTAGTGCGATTATGAACCGCAAACTTGGCTACAATTCAGGACTCTTCCTTGAAGATGAGTTGGATATTTTTGGGAAGAATTCTGATATTGGTCAGGCTGCAGAGAGGCGCTTAATGATGTGTCAGTCCACCTTCCTTCCTCAGGTGGAAGGAACCAAAAAACCCCAGGAGCCACCCATAAGCCTTCTCCTCCTCCTCCAGAATCAACACACACAACCTTTTGCTTCACTGAATTTCCTGGACTACATTTCCTCTAACAATCGCCAAACTCTTCCCTGTGTAAGCTGGAGTTATGACCGGGTGCAAGCAGATAATAATGATTACTGGACGGAATGCTTTAATGCGTTGGAGCAGGGGCGGCAGTATGTGGATAACCCCACTGGTGGAAAAGTGGACGAAGCTCTGGTGAGAAGTGCCACTGTGCACTCTTGGCCTCACAGCAATGGTAGGTGTCCCAGAACACAAATTTACTTTGAGGAGTATCTTGGTATGATCATAACTTAAAAGCTTTCTTTACTGTATTTGACAAAAAATTTTAATTTCATGTCTTTCGGGGGAAAAAAAAGAACCTAAAGTGAGAGCTGTATTGATTTTATCCTAAACTTATGGACTGGGAGAATGTTTTATATTGAAATGCCTTTGGAGAAGAGTAATTGTTTTCTGAAATTTTCCTCTTGTAACTCATAAGTAAGCAGTCTATGTTGGGAACCTGTGACCGCTGAGTATCAGAGTCGTCAGGAGCTTACAGACTGATAATTTGCACACTCTTGCATGCTTAAATCCACCATTCTTCCAGATCAAGTTTCCAAGGAACCTCTTCCATGAAGCCTTCTAGCCATTTCCAGAGTCTCTTCTCCCTTCTCTGTTTTCCCCCTTTGTTGTATCACTTATAACAAAATCACATTTTACTTTGCATTGTGGTTACTGGGGCATATAACTGGTTGTATTATTAAAAGCTCCAGTGAAGTTGGGCTGTAAGAGTGCCAAGCAACTTGCTGTTTCCTTTTCTTACTCATTCACTGCCTAAACTGCAATGCATCATGGGGGATAAAATGGTTACTGAAAGAAACAAGGCACTTACCCTCATGGACTTTCTAATCTATTCTGGAAGTGGACATCAATTAAATAATTACACAAGCACGCATATTATTACAACCCATTTTATAAGTGATAAAAGCATGGGATAGACGGGGCACTCTAGGCTGAAGGTCAGAGAAGACTTCGTTGTAGAAGTAGTAACATTTGCTCAGAGATCTCAATGATGAGTACACATTAACTGAGGAAGGAGAATGGGGAGCGAGGCATGTGTCCCAGACAGGAGGTGCTGCAAGTGGGAAGGCCCTTGGTTGTATGGAGCTTGGGGCCTTTAGAAACTGACGCGAGGTTAGAAGCATGCAGGGGCTAGATTACAGTGACTCTTTAGAGGCATGCTAGGGGTTGGGTCTTCCTGCAAAAAGCAATACAAAGTCATTGAAAGGTTTTAAGAAGAAGCACTGATGTCAGATTTGTGTAGTTAAAAAGGAAAAATAACAATGTGCACTGGCTATAATTCTGGGTATGGATTAGAAAGTGGCAGGAATGGATTTGGGGAGACAAGGAGGTTAGTGAGGAAGACCTAGTAAGAAACAATAGCTTGCCTTAGTGTCCTTGTGAAGAAGGTGGAGAAGAAATATTATTGCAGGACTCAATAGTGAGTTGAGTTTTGGGGATAAGGGAAAGAGAGATGTTGAGGAGTCCCAGATTTGTTACTTGTATACCTGGATAGTCAGTGGTGTTCAAAGATAAGACTATATCTGGAGAGAAAGTTTATAAATTGAGTTGTGGAAGTTTGGAAGTTTTAAAGATCCCTTTTGATATATCCAGGTAGAGGTATCAAGTAGACTCTTGGGCCTTTTGCTCAGGGGAGAGGGAGTGGTTGGCATATAGGTGATAACTTCAATTAAGGGGGCACAGATGAGCTCATTGAGGAGGAGGAGAAAAGTATAGACGAGAAGAGGACCTGGTAGAGCTTAGCTACATTCTGACGGGTATAGGTGAGGCAGAGAAGCGTGAGCCTATCAAGCAGAGAAGGAAGAACCATAGAGGGGGCTTTTGGAAGCCAGGGGTAGCCAGTGTTTCAAGAAAGAGGAAGTGATTGACAGGCATTAAAATGCAAGTGAAGATTTTAAGATAAGGATTAAACATGTCTTCTGACCGTGGTGAGAGCTGTTTCTGTAGAGTGGTGGGAGCAGAGGCCAGACTGGAAGGGTTGTGTGAATGATGTGCGAACCCGGCTTCTGAACAACTCTCAGTCTTGCAGGGAAGAAAGTTATATAAGCTTCTTAAATACAGTTTGAAATCTGAAGTAATTAAAAGTATGTCCAGAGGTCAGTAGAGTATGGGGAGTGATGGGTATTTTCTGACTAGGCCAATCAAGGAAGCTTTCATGGAGGTAGAGATGACTAAGAAAGCATTAAAGGGTTATGCTCATTTGTATAACTGCTTAGGTTCAAGCACAGTGCCTTATACTTAAGCAGACCCTTAATCAGTTTCTACTGAATGAATTTATGAAGTGAAGAAAATGCAGCCTTTCCCCTAAAGAAATGTGGATGATCAGCTTGGGTGAGTCCTTTTACTAGATAGGCCTTCGGACAGAAAAGCAGTCTGTGTGCATGAATCAGTGGTGTCGTCTTTCAGGATGAAAAATAAGACATTTTATTGCAGGGGAGGTCTGGGTTTCAAATTTTAAGATGCCTAAAAGTACCAGATAATGTAAATGAATGTGATGGGAGACATTTGCAAAAGGCAGTGCCTTAAGCTGTCTTTTCAAAACTCACTTTCTATTTTGCAGGCACAGGAATAGGGTTCATAAGAAACGTGCTTGCTTTTAGTTTCCTCAAATCTGTGGTTCTCTTGGTCTGTGATTTCCTGCTTTTGATAGAGCCATTAATACAAGAAGTATTCACTGTTGTTGTTTACTATATGTAAAAAGAAGCACTGGCTGAAGATAAAAGGCAATGAAAACTGCATCAGACTCAGGACAGACAGCAGGGAAGGGGCCATGAGGTGCCTGAGAGGGACAGCTGCTCCTCAGCTCCAGCAAGTGGTGGTTATGCAGGAATATGGGTCTCCCAGTTCAAGGGAAGCTGGCAATCTAGATTTGTGTGTGAAATTTCCTGGAGTGATTTGTTCCAAAGTTTAACAAAATATTCTGTGGACCACCACTTTGCAACCTGTGTTTTACTGATTTAGGGACACGTTTGAAAATGTCTTAAGAATCCTTAATCATCCTGTGTTTCAAATTTAGTTGGCAGATAAATCTTAGATTTCTTTCCATGCCCCTTCCCTCATCAGCTAGAAGGGTAAGAGGGAGGCAGAGTCTTCAGGAATCCAGCTGTGCAGATTCACACCACATCACCTCCAGCGTCATTAGCTCTTTCTGCAGACCTTTTTAAGAATCTGATTTGCATGATGAACCCTCCATCCTGAGAAAAAAATACGTATGTCCAAGCGTGCTTGCACAGTTTTGCATGGAGTTCAGACAACTTTCAAATTTTAGGTTAGAAATCCCTCCCCAGGGCGACTGCTGGGACTAAAGTCATCTGCATTTAGAAGGCAGTGAATCCCATCCGTGCCTGCAGCGGACTTCGGTCCTTGAGGGCTTCAGCTGTGTTTCCCTGTGCCTCTGGCTGCACTGAAGATTGGCCTTCTCTTCATGCATTCTGTATTTTGTGAAAATATTTTTACAATTAGGAGCATTTAAAGAGTTTTTAAAAGCTTTTATTTAAGTTCCATTTTTTCCTACTTATCATATAAACAAAACATTGATATTTGCAAATAAAAGTAATAATTAAGAAACTTTTGCAGCTGTCTTATGAAAATCCTTGGAAACAGATTTCCATGGTTTTAAAAAGTCGCACCTATCCATTTTTCCACTTTTAAACAATTCTTCCATTAAACTTTTTTATATAGAGTAATCCATTTCCCCTTTTATTATTGTTGATACTAAATTATCAATTATTTTCTCTAATTTAGTAGAAGAATATCTTTCCTCCTGACTCCTAAGTCAAATATTTTAGAATCTACTACAGCTAATAACGTCATTGTTCTGAATATAACTGAGGCTCGAGGTGATGGTGAGGAAGAGGAGGGTGCTAGCCCCCTTATCTTCTCTGTTTCTTCTCACTTCTCTTCCAGTGCTGGACATCAGCATGCTCTCCTCCCAGGATGTGGTTCGTATGCTGTTGTCCCTGCAGCCCTTTCTCCAAGATGCCATCCAAAAGAAGCGCACGGGCAGGACCTGGGAGAACATCCAGCATGTGCAGGGACCACTCACTTGGCAGCAGTTCCATAAAATGGCAGGACGGGGAACCTACGGTAGGGTCTTTGTCCTGTTTAAAATTCCTTCTGACTTCAGTGCTGTTCAGTGAAGAGCAGCGTTAGTTACTGTCAAGTCCTTGCGTCACTAACAAAATAGGGGAGTCTTTTTCTTTGACCATTTAGTTTTATAATCTCTTTGTTTTCCTAAAGTTACTTTTGGAGTCAAGTTTCCTACCACCCTTGGCATAATCCAGGTCAGTGAGGAAGCTAATCCCTAAAAAGTGCATTTTTTAGATTCTCCTCATTTTCCCAATCCTCACTGCATTTTCATCTGGATGGACTTCTGGGCCAGTTCTGTCTACTTCATCATAGTCAGAATCATAATGCTTATCTTGAAGGAAATGATGTAGTGCTGCTTGGAAAGTTAATTTTAACTTGTTCTAGTCTGCCCTCTGATCTTACTGAACCTTTATAAACAAATTCTGACTTACTTAATTAAGAGTCCTCATCAGTGACCATTTAATTAGATGATTTCAAAAATACTTTTAAGAATGTCTTGTGAACATGGAGTGACATTTCAGATGCCAGAATTAAGACCAGTGCACCAGGAATTTCAAAATTGTAAGGTTGTGGGAAAAACTCTCTAGCACCTTTCTACACTACAATGTCATTTTAGGTTCGGAAGAATCTCCTGAGCCGTTGCCCATCCCCACTCTGCTGGTAGGCTATGACAAGGATTTCCTCACCATCTCGCCATTCTCCTTGCCGTTTTGGGAGAGGCTCTTGTTGGACCCATATGGGGGCCACCGTGATGTTGCCTATATTGTGGTGTGTCCAGAAAATGAGGCCTTGCTCGAAGGAGCCAAAACTTTCTTCAGGGACTTGAGTGCTGTATACGAGGTGAGGAAGTTACTGTGAAAATTGCTTTTTATGACTTGGATCCTCTGATTGTTTATAGTGATGACTAAATTTCAAGACAAATGTCTTGAAAGTAAATCTCAGAGAAAATTTGCAAACAGGTGGATGAAGAAGAGAATTGAATTGGCCAATTTTTCTGGAAGCAAATTGCTTTCCCATCTTTGCTTTATATTTGTTAGATTTAGAAAACGTTCCCCTCCCATTCTTACCACACGTCTTAAAATCCCATCAGTTCTCTCTTCTCCATTTATGTGCTAAAAGTTGAAGAATATTGCTCACCAGGGGAAAGTGTGGCTATGTAGAAGATGAGCTTTACCAAAAGAGCACATCTACTCTTTGTATTTATTTACTGGATGGATTGAGGGACAGGGTGAGTAGGTGAGAGTTCCTGACAACAGTGTAAAAATGTGTCTTTTGCAAATTTCTGAATTGAAACATAAGTTTAATGAATAATGTCCCTGTTGTGTTTTAACATGACATCTTAATACTGAAACTTTGATACTGATTAAAAATATAATTCCTATAATAATGTAAAAACCAGGCAGATAATTTTACATCTTTAGTATATGAATTCCTGTTGCTTTAAAAAAAATAGAATCATGTCTGTCTTTGAAGAATAAGTGCCACATTTCTTATGCCAAAGTATATATGCACTAAGTTCTTTGTATCTGATACATCTAATGTCTTTGTATTCAGCAAAATGAAATTAATATCTGTAAAATATTTAGTACTATGATAGGCATGTAAACATTATGAAAGTGGTTTTTAAATAAGATTCCAAGCTGAATTGCAAAATATTCCAAAACAGGACATTCATGATCTATAAATGTATGAGTAGGCACGGAATAGTAAATTTACGTTGTTGCTACAAAGAAATGAGGAGATGCTAACATGATGTAATGACATCAATTAAGTCACTGCCTTGGATACATTCATTTCTGAACAGTGTCTGGTCAGGGCATATATAATACTATTAAATCATAATTAACAGAAAATTTGTGTAAGCAGTTTTAAAGCCCAGCCATTTCCTTGAATGGAACCTTCAACATAAGTTACAAAATGTAAAAAGCACTGCCAGATCTTTTTAAGAGGGTACAGACAGACACTCTTTTAAATTTTTCTTAATGACTTCACTAGGGTTGCTTATTCGGCAGTAATTGATACCTCCTTAGGAAGAGTATACACTAGAGGATTTTGTCGGGGCTTAGTAAGCCTTCACTTCATCTACTCTAGTAAGGGATAATAATACGGGCTCTCCTGCTGGTGAACAGGTAGTTTACTTTTTGCAGGTTTATTATATTCCCTGCCATAAGCACCCATTTAGCGTCATGGAGATTAATAGCAGAATCTCCTTGTCCTATTTACTTTAAAAAAAAAAAAGGCGATCAGCATACTCACTGCTTCAGTGGCCCCTGCTATTGGTGATCTCCAAATGTCTGTAACAGAACAGATGGCCCATAAAATTTTAATGTTATCTTATGGGAAAATATTATGAGTAGGGATTACTTAGGAGATTTTAGTGGGCATATGTCTCAGTTAGCAACAGTAGGCAGGAATCTGCTAATTCTTTGTCCGTTAGCAATCAGGTAGTGTTCAGCAGCCTCCTCTTGTACAGGAGGAATTGGCTTGAGTGAAGAAACATTTTTTTTTTTAGAGAGCCTAGTCCAAGTTTTAGAGAGACAGATAGCAATTTAAGGGTACATTACAATTACCTGAAAGGACCAACTTGTAATGTTGGTTTGATTGCATGTGATAACCCTAAAAGAAAAAGGAAAATGCTTCCATATGTATGTTAAAGAATCTCCCTTGCTAACCATTGGTACTGAATGAAGGAATGGCTCCTGTTATAACTAATGATCTTGTCTATGATATCAGATGTGTAGGCTTGGGCAGCACAAGCCCATCTGCAAAGTGCTACGTGACGGGATCATGCGCGTGGGAAAAACTGTGGCACAGAAGCTGACAGATGAGCTTGTGAGTGAGTGGTTTAACCAGCCTTGGAGCGGCGAGGAGAATGACAATCATTCCAGACTCAAACTTTATGCGCAAGTTTGCCGCCATCACCTAGGTAAATGGGAATTTATTTGGCAAAGTAGAATTGGAGAAGTAAAATAGCAAATCCGTCCCATCCCTTCTTTTATAGATGCAACATTATATTTCTTTTGTCTCAAGTAATGCTGTATTTGTTAAGGTCCAGTTTGGTGTTCTGGGCAGTTTAATGCTAATTTCTATATGGACATATATTTTTTAAAAACTATTCAAAGTTGCCTAATCATGTCTAATTACTGCACATTTTGAAAACTTAGCAGCATGACTTGGTATTAGCTGCTTAGTTTTAACCCATATTCTGAAGAGAATCTTAGAAGCTTGTAAACCTAGGAGCATAATGTCCCATGATGACTGTGGAATATATAGCTTCTCATTTTTTAGGGCAGGCACATGGAATCAGTCTGAAAGGAGACTATCACAAGTGATTGATTTTCTCTTTTCAAACAAGCCTCTACTGTAGAATTTATAAGTTGCTCCATGTGCATCTCCATGTTTGCAGAATACATAAGCATGACTGTGGAGATAGTATTTTGGGTATTGTAATCAGAGTATTGCAGCCTGAAAGCATAATGTTTTTACAAGTGACCATTCTAGATTCTGGTTCAGTCCGACACTGCAGAATATCACTAAAGTCACCTCTTTGCATGTATTCTTTCAGCACCTTATTTAGCCACTCTGCAGCTTGATAGCAGCCTATTGATACCACCTAAATACCAGACCCCACCAGCAGCAGCACAGGGACAAGCTACGCCAGGGAATGCTGGGCCCTTAGCTCCAAATGGATCAGCAGCTCCCCCAGCTGGCAGTGCATTTAATCCCACCTCGAATAGTAGTTCTACAAATCCTGCAGCAAGTAGTTCTGCATCTGGTTCCTCTGTGCCACCGGTCTCATCGTCTGCCTCTGCTCCTGGTATTAGCCAGATAAGCACTACCTCTTCTTCAGGATTCAGTGGTAGTGTTGGAGGGCAGAACCCCAGCACTGGGGGCATTTCTGCGGATAGAACGCAAGGGAACATAGGCTGTGGTGGAGACACTGACCCTGGGCAGAGCTCTTCTCAGCCCTCACAGGATGGACAAGAGAGGTATGTTATTCACTAATTGAGATGAGTGGCTTCAGCTCAGACCCTTTCTCTCTTCTTCTTCTGCACCTTTTCTCCCTTGACCTCATGATTCTGTGAATCCTATGAAGTGCTCTATTTCTCTTCTCAAAAGAAAGGGGCAATGGTCGATCTAAAGCTGCAGTGTTAAAAATTTGAGACTTCTTATAAATTATTATGAATTATAAACTTTATTATTAAACTTACTTACTATCAACTTAATTAGTAACAACTTTGTACAACATAACCACAGAAAAGAAAGGGGAGTTGAAAAAGATACCTCCCATTTTAGAGGAGTACATTGCCATTTTCCATCTGCCCTCGATGCTCTCTGGCTTGGTTTGCCTGTATTTTGGTAAGGTGATAAATGTTACTCTTACCTTTAATCTGTAAACATTCTTTAGGGAGCCTGTGTGCTCTAGAATTGAGCCCTTTTGTTTTTCATGTTCGTGTAATTTATATTTATTTTGTGCATCTCACAAGTGACTCTCTCTCCAGTGTTACAGAAAGGGAGAGAATAGGAATTCCCACGGAGCCTGACTCTGCAGACAGCCATGCCCACCCTCCAGCTGTTGTCATTTACATGGTGGACCCGTTCACGTATGCTGCAGAGGAGGACTCCACTTCTGGGAACTTTTGGCTGTTGAGCTTGATGCGCTGCTACACAGAAATGCTGGATAATTTACCTGAGCATATGAGAAATTCTTTCATTCTCCAGGTTACTGTTTGCAAGTTTATTATTTACTTTTGATGTTGTTATTTTTGTTGTTATGAAAATAAATACAGGCCTATGATTTTTCTTAAAAAATGGAAGTACAGGTTAATTATCCCCTAACCAAAATACTAGGAACCAGAGTGTTTTGGATTTCCGATTTTGGAATATTTGCATATATATAATGGGAGACCTTTGCAGTGGGCCCAAGTCTAAACATAAAATTTATTTATGTTTCATATACACCTTACACACATAACCTGAAGGTAATTTTATACAATATTTTTGGTCATGTTGTGCTTTATACAAAGTTTTGATTAAATTTTGACTGCAATACATCACATGAGGTCTGATAACGGAATTTTCCACTTGTGGCGTTTTATTGGCATTCCAAAAGTTTTGGGTTTTGGTGCATTTTGGATTTCAGATTTTTTGATTAGGGATATTCAACCTGTACATGAAAGTATAAAAGAAAAATAGTCATAATTCCGTCTTTTACATTCAACCACCATAACCATTTTGGTGTATTTCTAGCTTGTTTCTCTATTTTTGTTTACACAGTTGAGATCATACTTTTAATATAACTTATTTTCTACCTAATGTTATTCATTAACACATTTTCATATTATTTAAATTCTTACAAGCAACATTTTTAATGACTGCATATTTTCCATAGTCATTCCTATATCTCCACTTCTTTACTGTTATAAATAAAGCCATAGGACACGTTTATGTATAATCTTATTTTTCACATTTCAGGTCATTTTTAACATGGATTCTTAGATGCTGACAAATATTGCCAAATTCCATTCCAAAAGAGGTTACACTTATTTCCTTTCATCAGTGAATGAGTATGCTTATTTTCACTGCACCTTTGACAGCTTTATAGTGTAATGATTTTTTAAAAAATTCTATATAGATGAAAAACAATGCTTCGGATGTTTGGGTTTCGTTTTAATGTCACTTTAACTGAAGCTATCTTGTAAAATTAAAAGATTGAAATTAAAGTTATCAGAGTACATTGCTGATAGTTTTCCATTGTTTTGAAGTCTGTATCCTAAATGATTAGGTAATAATTCCAAAAAATGCCATACACACTGTGTAATTATAAAAAGAAATATAATAAAATTTTGGGGCCATGGTAATACCTGTAATAAATTGAGATCTTACCCCTAAAGTGGGAACATGGTAGTTTCTAAGTGACAGTATAACTTGACCAACATAATCGTACATCTTTTGAAATTGCTGGTGATAGAGAATTTTATGTCAGCGGAAGGAATTAGGATTTAATTATATTATGTGTGGCACAGATATATTTTAAGGCTGAGGTTACCTCTCCCCATTGTGGTAAGGAATTCATGCCGTTTCCTTTTTCAGCTTGCTTGTTAGTGTGTTAGATCTCAGTTTCTAGGTTTTTGGTTTTTGTTTTTTTTTTGTATTTGTGTCTTTAGATTGTGCCTTGCCAGTACATGCTGCAGACAATGAAGGATGAGCAAGTTTTCTACATTCAATACTTGAAGTCCATGGCATTTTCAGTGTACTGCCAGTGCAGGCGACCACTGCCTACACAGATCCACATTAAATCCCTCACGGGATTTGGGCCTGCAGCCAGCATTGAGATGACCCTCAAGAACCCTGAGGTAGGTATTGGCAGGACAGAAACTTAGAAAATTTATACTAAAATGCAAGCTAGAAGAGGTATTTTATCTAACCCAGAGATTGGCTGGTTGCTTAGTTGGTCTTCTACATTGATATAAGAGTTGCTAGGCTGGATGTGTTGGCTCACACCTGTAGTCTTAGCACTTTCGGAGGCTGAGGTGGAAGGATTGCTTAAGCCTAGGAGTTTGAGACCACACTGGGCAACATAGCAAGACCCCATCTCTACAAATTTTCTTTTAAAAATTATCCAGGTGTGATGTGTGCCGGTAGTCCTGGCTGTTTGGGAGGCTGAGGTGGAAGGATCACTTGAGCCCAGGAGTTTGAGATGGCAGTGAGCTGTGATCACATAACCACTTCCGCCTGGAGAGCAAGACCCTGTCTCAGGGGGGAATAAAAACGAGTTGGCAGGTTTCTTTAACTCTTAGGTTTAAATAGAGGAGATACTTCTCTGAACTTTAAAACATTTTTGAGAAGAGAGGCAAGCAAATTCTTACTGTTTTTTTTATGTAGGACTTTAGGCAATAATAAATGTATCCCTTTTAGTTTTTAATGTTTTAATTTCCTAAATTTATTTTCTTTATTTTTCTAAGCTAATCTGTGTCTTAGATCAGAAATCCTTTGCGTTTTCCAGCTCTGGTCTGTATCCTGGGACAACAGTTGTAGTTGTGTTTACTCTGCAGGGGTCCCTCGTTTTGTGATGCACATACTTAGAGGAAGTTGATTTCTCCTTTCCTTGCCTCAGTGCTTCCGTATATAAATGAATGCATTTTCACTCCATCTTTTAAAACCTACTTCCTACAGATATGTGTGGATCTCAAAGGGAATTTTACAACACCAAAGCTAAACATGTTTTAAACAAAAGTTTTACACTTCCTTTGTTTTTCTAATCACCTTATCTTGAAGATAGGTATAAAAAGCAATGTTCAGAATTTTCAAAGCCTTCAAAAATCAGTTCCCACAATTTTATTGCATGAAAAGTATCCCATTAGTAAAAGCCAGCATACACCTCTTTACCATAAGAGAGCTCCTTAAAACACCAATTGCTATTTTTAGTTGGTAATGTTGTTCTGAACAACTCTATGAAATGCTTGCACTTTTATAAGTAAAATGCTTGGGAGTGAAAAATGATGCAAGTAGTTAACACTGTGTTTGTTGTAACTTGGTGCAGGTCAGCTTAGTCCCAAGGGAGAAAAGCTGCTCAGCCAATGACCTACATTCACTCCAGTGTTATATAAAATTTCTATTTTAGGCAGTTTTAGTTTAGTTTATTCTTTGAGTTTGAATTTTTCACTTCTATGAGCAATTCATCTGTTTTCTCTGTTAAATTTTTCTAGAATTTCAAAAATAAATGTCTCTACTTGTTTTTTATTTTGTTTCCAGAAATTATGAATTATTGCCTTTCTAAAGGTTATTATGCTCAGGCAGAACACCATCAGGAGCTCATAAGATAAAGTGAGGTTTAGATTAAAATAAATGGCAAAAAGACTTCGAGTAATATCGTTTTTCTCCATTTTGCTTGGAACAGGAAGAGAGAAGTAAATGATTTTACTTTATTAAAAACAAAAGAACCAAATGTTATAAATATTTGCTGAAGTTTATACATTTTAATCTGCATTAAGGTAATGGTTAGTTGGTCAATGCTGCCTCTGCCTCAGTCTGCAGCGAGAACATTGTGTTTTCATTTGGTAAATACAGTTGAGCATCTACGGTGTGCCAGGTGCTGTATTAGGTGCTAAGGATGCAGGGGTGAACAAAACAGGCCCCTGCCTCCATGCAATTCTCATTCTCTGGGTGGCACAGTTTTATGCAAGTTATCACATGTGAAAGAATTTATAGTTTTTATTATGCAAGTTTTCAAATAAATCCAATTGCTGTTATCTTTTGTTTTTCATGGAATATCTCGCATCTCAGAACACAGTTTGGGAATCATATTTTATTTAGTGTTTTCAGATGCTATCTATTATATCTAAGATATTTCACATTTAGCCATTCGTTTTATAAAAAACTCCAGGCAAACTCAGCTGGACTTTTCTTGCTTTAATAACAGCTTTATTGAGATACAATTCACATATCACGAAATTCTTTTTAAAAATTTTACAGTTCAGGCCGGGCGCGGTGGCTCATGCCTATAATCCCAACACTTTGGGAGGCTGAGGCTGGCGGGTCACCTGAGGTCAGGAGTTCGAGACCAGCTTGGCCAGCATGGCAAAATCCCGTCTCCACTAAAAATAAAAAAATTAGCCAGGCGTGGTGGCGGATGCCTATAATCCCAGCTACTTGGGAAGCTGAGGCGGGAGAATTGCTTGAATCCATGAGGTGGAGGTTGCAGTGAGCCAAGATCACGCCACTGCACTCCAGTCTCGGCGACAGAGTGAGACTCTGTCTCCAAAAAAAAAAAAAAAAAGAAAAAAAATTGTACAGTTCAGTGGTTTTTAGTATTTCCACACAGTTGTACAGTCTTCACTACTATCTAATTTTAGAACATTTTCATCAACCCTCAAAGAAACACAATATTCATTAGCACACACTACTCATTCCCCACTCCAGTCCTTGGCAACCACTGGTCTACTTGCTGTCTCTATGGAGCTGCCTGTTCTGGACATTTCTTATAGATGGAATCACACAATATATGATTTTTTTTTCTTTTTTAGACAGGGTCTAATTATATTGCTCACGCTGGTCTTGAACTCCTGGCCTCAAGCAGTCTTCCCCCCAATTTTTTTATTTTTATTTTTGAGGCAAGGTCTCGCTCTGTCACCCAGGGTGGTGTGCAGTGGCAAGATCACGGTTACTTGCAGCTTCGACCTCCCTGGGCTTAAGTGATCCTCCTGCCTGAGCCACTGGATTAGCTGGGACTACAGGCATGTGCCACCGTGCCTCGCTAAATTTTTGTAATTTTTTGATAGGGGTTTTGCTATGTTGCCCAGGCTGGTCTTGAGCTCCTTGGCTCAAGCATTCTGCCTGACTCAGCCTCCCAAAGTGCTGGGATTACAGGCGTGAACCACCTCGCCTGGCCATATGCGATCTTTTATGTCTGGCTTCTTCCAGTTAGCATAATGATTTTGAGGTTCATCCATGTCATAACATGTACCAGTACTTCATTTCTTTTCCTGGCTAAATAATACTTCATCGTATGGCTGTACCACATTTTGTCTATCCATTCATTAGTTGATGGACATTTAGGTTGTTTCCACTTTTTGGCACTTGTGAATAATGCTGCTATGAATATGTACAAGGTTTTTGTGTGGACATAATATTTCTTTCTCTTGATAAATACCTAAGAGTGCAGTTTCTGGTCATGTGGAGAGTGAATTGATGAGTGTTAGATTAGCTTTGCAACTTTGAGCAAGTCATTGAATATTTCTCAGCCTGAGTTTTGAATCCCTATGATGAATGAATGAGTTGGGTTATATTATTTTCAAAGTCTCTTTTAGCTTTAAAATTGTGTCATTCTGTTACTGCCATGCCTAATGCTGTGTAGTTCAGGGGTCAGCAACTATGGATTTGGGCTGTATCTGGCCTGCAGCCTGTACTTGAATGACCAGCTAGGTAAGAATGATTATTACTTTTGTGTTTTTGAGACAGGGTCTTACTCTGTCGCCCAGGCTGAAGTGCAGTGGCATGAACCTGGGTCACTGCAGCCTCGACCTTCCAGGCTCAGGCAGTCAGCCTCCCAAGTAGCTGGGACTACAGGCATGCACCATCATGCCTGGCTAATTTTATTTTATTTTTTGTAGAGAGGGAGTCTCACTGTGTTGGCCAGGCTGGTCTTGAACTCCTGGGCTCCAGTGATCCTCCCACTTCAGCCTCCCAAAGTGTTGGGATTACAGGCATGAGCCAACACACTTAGCCAGTGAGTACATTTTTACAAAAAGGAGAATGTGTGACAGCCATAAAAATCTAAACTTAATTCTCTGGTTTTCTTTTTTGTAGAAGTTAGCTGACCCCTGTTGTAGTTTATTAAATAGTAAGATGTGTATTATGATGGCTGTAAAAAATATGACAATTAAAACATTTTCACAGTTGATCTAAAATATTTATATTTGGTAACAACTGTTGATTTGATTTTTAAAATTATATACACAGACACACATATTAAACTATATATGTACTCAAAAGTACTCAATCATAAGTGTACTGCTGAATGAATTTTCAGTAATTAAAAAAATATCATTTAACAAGTGCAAGAAGCAAATACATAACTGGTATCCAGAGCCCCTCTTGTGGCCTTTCCAATCCCTTAAAGATAGTCACTATTCTGACTTCTGACAGTGTAGTTTTGCCTGTCTTTGACCTTGATATAAATTGAATCATCTACTTTGTATTCTTTCACATTCGGCTTCTTTTATTCATTGTTGAGATTCATCTGTTTTGTTGCTTATAGTTTTTTCATTCTCATTGCTGTTTAATATTCTGATTCTGTTAACTATATCACAATTTATTATCTCTTTCACTGTTGATGAGTATTTAGATAACTTTCTGTTTGGAGCTATTGTGATTAATACTATCGTGAATATTCTTATACCTGTTTTTTGGTAAACATATATGTGCATTTTGTTGGTTCAAAGGGAGTATATGTTTGTTCAGCTTAAGCAGCAATGTATAAAAATTCTTGTTGCTCCATATTCTTACCAATATTTTCTCTTTTTTTATTTTCGACATACTGGTGGTTGTGTAGCATTATCTCATTGTAGTTTCAATTTCCCACTTGCCTAACAACTAATGAAGTTGGGCCAATGCAGTTTCTAAAATAGTAATTTCTTTTAATAAGGAAATACTGGCTTGATTGAGTTTCCCAGCTTACATGATTTAAACAATCATTTTGTTATGTGTCCTCAGTACTATTTATGTGTCTCTAGTACTGGAGAGAGAGAGAGAGAAACGATTTACTACCATTACTCCCTGTGGGTCCCCTCAGTGTCGTTCTGGATTTTGTTGTAATCATTAAGTTGTATGGCTTTGTACTGATATTGATTTTGGTTTTGATTTCAGCGGCCCAGCCCAATCCAGCTTTACTCCCCTCCCTTTATATTGGCCCCAATCAAAGACAAGCAGACAGAGCTGGGAGAGACGTTTGGTGAGGCGAGCCAGAAATACAATGTGCTCTTCGTGGGCTATTGTCTGTCTCACGACCAGCGCTGGCTTTTGGCTTCCTGCACTGACCTCCATGGGGAATTATTAGAGACCTGCGTTGTAAATATTGCTTTACCAAACAGGTGAGAAGACTTGATGTTTATGGTGCATGTAAATTAATGCTGTACCGTTCCTCAAATATGAATATTTCCAGTTTTCTATGTAAATGAAGTGGGTACAGCATGGATAGGTTCTTTGGAATTTCTAGTGTTTGTCTTATAAGTGATAAATAACTCTGATTTATCTAGGGACCCCTTCCCCTTCCCCATTTCTTTATTTGTTAGGTCACGGAGGAGTAAAGTATCTGCACGTAAAATTGGACTACAGAAGTTATGGGAGTGGTGCATAGGGATTGTCCAAATGACATCTCTACCCTGGAGAGTTGTAATCGGGCGACTTGGGCGTCTTGGCCATGGGGAGCTTAAAGGTGAGAAATTTTTGAAGAAGTATTTGCAGAAGACAGAGGAAAAGGGCTCAGCTATTGTCATTAACTGAGCTAAGGGAGAAAATGTTTAAATTTGTAAGAATTAAACAGATTCTATTTTATGATTCTTTTATATGTACAGGATAAACCAGTTTTAAACTCTTCTTTGGCAACAAAATAAATATCCAAATAAAATCTTAAATTTTGAGCCCCAATATATAAAACAAAAAGAGGGTTTTATTAATATAAAAATGATAGTAAATTCACATTTCGAACATTTATTTATATATTGAATCAGGGAGAAGAACTAGTCAGTTTTAAGACAAAAATTTTATATCAGTGATTATAGGTGACAGTTGAAGTCATATAAAAACAGCCTTCAATTTGTTTGGTGGTTGATGATGAGTTTTGTGTTTCTTTAGTTTTTTTGGTGGCACAACAGCAAAGAAATCCTGTTTCATGAGGACAAGTAGTTGCCAGTAGAGGCAGTCTTTATTCACATTGCCACTGTCTGATGTTCTTGAGCCTGGAAGCTTACAAGAGCAGATTTTTGAAGTTCAGTCCCCAACTACCACTGCTTATATTCTTTGTCATAAATTTAACAGTCAGGAAGCACTTTAACTGTAACACAACACAACTGACCACCAGCAGCTGCCTTGCCTGGTGCTGAGCCCAGCTCATTTACTATCCCAATGTAGCTACTTGTACAGTTTTATGTGAGTAGTATGAATTAGCCTAGATTATTTTTAAAGCCTTATTAAGTAATGACAGATTTGTAAGAAGTTCAATATATGCATTCAGATGGGAGAAGTTTTTTCCCTAAGATCTGCACAAAAGAAAGACTTAATGTCACAGATTAGCTTGGTGGCTTCCTGGGTGCAAATACATTAGAGCAGAGTCAGCAAAGTTTCTTTGTAAATGGCCAGATAGTAAATATTTTCAGCTTTGCAGGCCAGATGGTTGCTGTTGTGACTATTCAGTTCTGCCGTTGTAACGTCAAAGCGGCTCTAGACAAGTGTGGATGGCTGTGTTTTAATAAAACTTTATTTACAAAAACAAATGGGAGGCAGGATTTGGCCTGTGGATCATAGTTTGCTGGTCCCTGCATTAGACCATGTACTTTTTTTTTTTATAGGAAATTCACATCAGGTATTTGTAGAATCCCTAAACAAAAATCACTGGTACAGATATAACTTGCACTGTAGGAATGCCTAAGTGTACCTCGCTTCCTACAATGCAGGTTAAATCTGGTATCAAATTTTCAGGGTTTAACAGCAGTTTATATAAATATTACATCATATGTATTAAGTAAATGTTTTCTTTGGCATTTACAAATTTTTTAAGTAATAAGTTGTACTGTAGACTAATAGACCCTTTTCATTTTTTAAAGGAATATCATAATGAATCTTGTATCAAGAGCCTGGAGGTCTAATACATTAGGGGATTCATCATTTTATTTCTGTCAGAATTTTCTATCTTCCTCCCCAGTCTGCTTTTTTAGTCAATCTTATTTCTTAAAGGCTTTGAGCTATTCTTAACCCTTGGGGAAAGTTAGACTATAATAGGAAAGAAGAGGGAGGATAAAAATATAGAGTAATAGTCTAGTCACTTGGTATTTTGGAAAATTATTAAGGCCATCTCCTTCCTTTGTATGATTTTTGTAAGGGCACATTCTTCTTCCTTATCTCTTAGTGGAGAGGAATGTGTGACTGGAGGAGCCCATCAAAAGATTGAAAGAAAATGTATGTTCAGGAATAAAAACACAGGAAGAACCTAGTGTACAGGAAATCTGTTTACTAATCTACAGCTCCTTCCTTTGAGGAGCCAAGATCTGTGCCACATTGCATCTCCATGGGACAGTGTATGACAGGAGCCTTAGGTTTCAGAGTCAGCTTTGTGAATTTCTGTTTCTTATCTCCAGAGTCTTTATGATGAAATACACACTGCCTTTTCTTTCGTACTTGGTTTGAAATATGAAGCTCACATCTGTGATTTCCCATAGTTTTAAAACAAACATTCTTCATGTTCCTGGCCACTTTTATTTCAGCCACTTCAGTTTGGGGTTCATTGGGAATATGGAAACAGTTTTCCATTCACTTGCTCTTTAAGGGGAGAAATGGCAGCTTATTTGGGGGAAAAAAAGTGTGGAGGTAGAGCAGCCTGCACTGGTGTGGCATTTTATGAGCAAGATGGGATCCGAAAGCAGGGGTGATGCATAGGAATGGCGCATACTTCGTGTGTGTAAGGGAGGTCAGAAGAGGGGACCAAGTGCTTTCCACTTCTCAGAGTAACATAATCCTCCACAGTGCTCCAGTTAGGTATAATGCTTTTGTTTGGAGGCAATAAACATTAGAAAGGAAATTTATGCCAACATTTCAATCTCCACTATTAGTATGGCATCATTTGGAGCACTTCACTCACACTCGTTGTGAGCTCTTTTGGGTGTTCTAAGAACTATTTCTCTTCATTTCTGCTGCTGTTTGACTTTCATGGAAATAACTAACCTACAACAATAAACAAAACTCAGGTTTACCTCCACCTGCCAGTGCTTTCCTCCAGAGCAGAGTACTGAAAGAATCGGACCTTGAGAAGGAGGAGAAAGGATAGGGCAGCTAACACTGCTGTCATCATGGAAAAGCACTCTAAGTGCCTAAATCTGGTCTAGGTAGATTAGACTGGATTAGTGCTGGACTCTCAAAGGTCATTTCAGACATGACTTCAGCCACAGAATAGTAGGCCTTTGTTCCTTTGTTAATGAAGTGTAATAGAAGTCGAGTAACATTCTCTATAGCAAGGAGGGGAACATATGTAAAGCCATAATTCCCTTTAGGGCCCAACCTTGGAAATTCAATTACCGGGCAGAACTGCTAAAAAGCTCAAATCTCCCATCAGTATGAATTTCTAAAGACTGTGTATGACTGCGATATTTGATTTCAGATTGGAGTATCCTCCTTGGAGAATGTTCACTACAGACAATCAGCAAAAAGCTCAAGGATGTGTGCCGGATGTGTGGAATCTCTGCCGCAGACTCTCCTTCTATCCTTAGTGCCTGCCTGGTTGCCATGGAGCCCCAGGGGTCCTTTGTAGTGATGCCAGGTAAATTTCTTCTTGTCATTGTCATTAATTACATATCACATCAATTCAGTCCACTCAAACTTAAGTCCGCAGACAAGGGTAGAATTGTCTTCATTATATTTCTATAAGGGAAGATTGTATTTGGGGCTTAAAGATGGAAAACATTCGATACCTTCCATGCGGAGTGGTTTGTGATTTTATCATGTTTGTTGACCATAGCTCGGGGGAGAGACTAAGTTCTGAATATCATTGAGATCTCATAGAGTCATGGCTAATGACTGTTACCTGACCCCAGTTTGTTGTTAGTATATGAAGATCACCCTCCAAAGAACTATGAAAGTAGACACCAGAATGATGCATATTTGAATATCCTTTTGAAGACATGCATTTGGCAGAATCTCTCAGCAGCCTCGAAGGGATATTTCTATAGTCTCTCTGATACGGTTGAAGATGAATGGGAAGGCAAACAAGGATAAAGCAGTTAGCACAGTACCTGGTACACAGTAAGCTCTCAATAGATGTAGGTGTCATTTGTGGATGGCCAAAACGTGGCCACAGAATTTCTTAAGAATCTGGCTGGTTTTTGAAAACCAGTAACTGAGCGATTTTATATTTTTATAACCTATCTTTACCATCCAGATATTTCTTGAATCAAATGGGGGACCTTCCCCACTTATTCCTTATAAAAGTCAACAGTATTGTGGTGTGAGAATGGGGTTACTTGTCATCAATCCAGTGAGAGACAGATGTCCTCATTAGACTATAGGTTACCTCTGTTGCCGCTACCACTTGGGCAGTTACGTAACTTCTTTGTGCTTTTGTCCTCATCTATAAATGGGGATCATAGTTCCTACCTTCAGATGCTGTGATGATCAAATGCGATGACTTGAATGAAGAGTTTAGCACAAATGCTGGCATGTAGTAAGCATTCATTAAGTGTTATAACATGTATTGATTTTATGGTCCTATCTCTATAGGATTGTTAACCGTTTAGAACAGTACTTTATAAATTGTGAACAACCAGAGGAGGAAAGAAAGTAGGGTGTTTATTTTTAGAAATACTTCTTACGTAAGTAATTAAAACATTTAGTGGACTTGGTCCAATTTTATCTTAACCTTTTCAGTATGAAATGAAACTTGGGTTATTATAGACAGCTATGTGCTCTGAGTCAGTTTCTTTGAAGATATTTAAACAATTGGACTCAATTTTGAATGTGTATTTATCATGGCATTTTCATCAGACTCATACCACTCCAGATCAGGCCCTCTGAAAACCTCATTTCTGGGGTTGTTCATTGATTGATATAATTCTATTTTTTTCTTTAAAGATGCTGTCACAATGGGCTCTGTTTTTGGCCGAAGTACTGCACTGAACATGCAGTCATCTCAGCTCAACACCCCTCAAGATGCTTCTTGTACACACATCTTGGTGTTCCCAACATCATCAACCATCCAGGTGGCTCCAGCCAACTACCCCAATGAAGATGGGTTTAGCCCCAACAATGGTGAGTAGAAGACCTGTATGGATAGTGCTCACCTTCATGCAGGGCAGAGCCGGAGTATGGAATCACTGGGCTGCCGCATGGCTTTTCTGTGTTGTAATAAACAACCCAGGAACTATAAAGAGGGGATAGAAGGTTTGAGAATCTATTTGGTCTTAAAGCTTTGATTTATCTGCACAATTAACAAGACCAAATAAATATTTTCCTTGTTTGGGCAATTAACTTTCTTCCATTTTTCATTAAAGGCAAAAAATAATACCTGCGTGGCACTGTTCTGTACTTAGGTGCCACTCTTTCAATAAATATTTGCTGATGTGATTTGAAATGTGTGAAGTACTAAGCAATATGAAGAGAGCACCTTCCTTTAGCTAGTCTATGGCAATCTAATTTGCTATAGAGAAACCCTTATTTGATTATTCTTAATGGAAATTTTTGAATAGCTGTTAAGGTATTTGTTTAAAAAAATGATTATTTATAAACTATAAAACACTCAACACAGCATCCATTTGCATTGTTTTTGAAGAAATTATAACACCTACCAGTGTTTATTTATGGTAAATGGGATGAGGAAAAGGATACCAAATTTTATATCTGGTATGATTACAATAGAATAACAAATATATGAGAAAATAAAAGAATCATAGAAAAAAATGATCATGGTGATTGGGTTCTAGGTGATGGTTTTCACTTTTTATACTTTTCTTTACAAATTTTCTGCTGTGAGTGTACCTTACTTTTATAATGTTGGGGAGGATTTCTTAATGAAAATGCTGGGCCAGGCACGGTGGCTTATGCCTGTAATCCTAGCACTTTGGGAGGCTGAGGCAGGCGGATCCCTTGAGGTCAGGAATTTGAGACTAGCCTGGCCAACGTGGTGAAACCCCATCTCTATGAAAAATACAAAAATTAGCCAGAAATCACTTGAACCCAGGAGGCAGAGGTTGCAGTGAGCCGAGATCGTGCCACTGCACTCCAGCCTGGGCAACAGAGGGAGACTCCATCTCAAAAAAAAAAAAAGAGAGAAAACATTGTGCTTTGATTTGCTTTTGGAATAGGTCTCCATTTTCAGGGCAAGTTCACACTCATTAACATGCATTCATTCAGCCTCTGGTGTTTTAGATGCTAAGTGGATACATAGATGGAGTCTACTGTGTTTTTGAATGGTGTCAATTTTAATGATTAAATTGTTGCTTTAGCTCTTTTACCATACTTTTATGTGTCTTTGGAGGCTATGCAGAGTGTAGGTTTTTATGTTATATTCTTTATTGCATTCTGTTAATACTGTACATAAGGAGATCATTGGAGAGAGTACAAAATGAAAGAATAATTTGTAATAGCTTGCACTCAGTAGGTCCTAACTGAATCTAAGTTATTAACAGTGTGTGTCCATAATAGCCATATGCCAACAAAACATGACATAGGTTAGGTTGGATTATTATGATATTGATATGTGGACTATCTTTTTAATTTTTGTGCTTTTTTTCCCCCCTTCCCTCTAGATGATATGTTTGTTGACCTTCCATTCCCAGATGATATGGACAATGATATTGGCATATTAATGACTGGGAACCTCCATTCCTCTCCCAACTCTTCCCCAGTACCCTCCCCAGGCTCTCCTTCTGGAATTGGTGTGGGCTCTCACTTCCAGCATAGTCGGGTAAGGATGATTTGGAGTACGTTGTTTAAGACAACCATAGCCTTTAGGAAGATAATCCACTGGACATCTGATCATCTTGTTCCTACTTGCACAGTTCTTGATGGTCTGGGTCCTTGGTACAAGAGAAATAAGTGTGGGAAACTGACTATGGTTCCATTTTGAATAGAAGGCAGGAATTTGAAATAAATATGTTATTATTTCTGATGAATAAGTTTTATCAGAAGAATAGTCCTATTACAGATGCAAGGGTTTTTAATGCATTGTTTTCTTAGCAAAAATTAGTTCTAGTTGCTTGCTGCTTCCCAGTTTTTTAATGGTTTTATTTTTTGCCAAAATAGTGGCTTTTAAGAGATTAGTACAACAACCGTACTTACTCAACATGCAGAGTAATTGTGCTGATTGAAGAACACGTTGGTGATGGCTTGTTCTGAAAGGAGCCTGCCGTGCTCTTTGCGTGTCCTGGCTTAGTCATTTTGCAGCCTTCTTCTTTCTAGCCGACCTGCAGGAATGGCAAGAGCCGCCAGGAGATTGATTTTACAGATGTGTCCAGGTTAACGCCAGAGTATTAAGGAAAAAACCAGAGCTTACAACTGGTTTCATCTTTAAATATCTCAGGGATATTGGAGGTGGATGAACAACAGAAGATTTAAGAGTTAGAGGGTTCTGCCACAGCTTGTGGTAACTTTGCTTCAGTTAGATGATTCCTGCTGCATCACTGTATTGTACTGTTTATTTAAAATGTTATGAGACTGGGGAGTTAAGACTTTGAAAAATAGCTATGTCTGGTATCTTAGACTGAACAAGCATAAGCAGCCTGCTCACACTCATTTATTTAGACACAAAGATGGACATAAAGGACTTCAGTTTTCATCGGGGGGGGGGGGGGACTTTTATTCCCAGCACTGAATTTATTAGACGCTGGAGAGAAAAAAGGTTTATAGCTTAGATTAGTCACAGAGCAGGTAAGACCAGAGGAGGGCATCTCAGACTGTTCCCATGTTATACCTGCCCCTATTACCCTCTTCTGGAAGGAAGGGGTTTTAAGGGTCTTTGTTTCCTTTGCAGTACTTACCAGTTAATGATAATTTGTTCATGGGAAACGGTTGTGATAGGAACGAAAAACACAAATGTTACATTGTCTATTTTTTTAAAGTTGGGTTTAATTTGAATTCTGGAGGCAAGTAGCATAGCAGCTAAGAATGCATGCCCCACAGTCTGTTAAAGACAACTTTGAATTGCAGCTCTGGGCCTACGGGCTTTGTGACCTTGGACAAGCTAACTTCACCTCTCTTAGCCTGAGTTACCTTATCTGTGAAATGGAATAATAGCAACTACCTCCCAGTACCTGTTTTTGTAATTCAGTTTATGCATTAACAAAGAATTGGTTATTGAAGTTGTAATGTTAGTTGTGTAAGAAACAGAGGTATGCTGTATTTCTCCCTTTTTTTGGAGCCTTAAGCACTAAAGTCTTTAATTCAATGCCATGATTTAGACAGTGCTGTTCTGAAGCTAGCCAGGTGGCCTTTTTCAATCCTGAGCACCTGCAGCCAGGTGACCTCCAAGAGGCTTTCAGCATTTCCTTTTTCTGAACCATTAAACATTCTTTGATATCCAGTTAAGACATTACAGCAGGGAAGAGAATGCGTTCAAAGTGGCAGTAAATTTTTTATTTTTTTAACCAACTCAGAATTGATACAGTTTGATGTAGTAGCTGCAGATTATTTTTTCCTTCCAAACAGAAGGTTTTTTTTTTTTTTTTTTTTTTTTTTGAGACAGAGTCTCACTCTGTTGCTCAAGCTAGAGTGCAGTGGCATGATCTTGGCTCACTGCAACCTTTGCCTCCTGGGTTCAAGGGATTCTCCTGCCTCAGCCTCCTGAGTAGCTGGGATTACAGGCGTGCACTACTGTGCCTGGCTAATTTTTGTATTTTTAGTAGAGTGGGGTTTCACCATGTTCGCCAGGCAGGTCTCGAAATTCTGACCTCAAGTGATCTGTCCGCCTCAGCCTCACAAAGTGCTGGGATTACAGGTGTGAGCCACCGCACCCAGCATAAACAGAGACTTTTAAAAACAAATGCATTACTTATTGCTTGCATGAAAGGTACATTTTCAATTGATGAAGCTAGCTAAAAGAATTAAAAGATAAGAAAAGTGTCAGTTGCAGCAAAACATAGCCTCTTCCAGGAGTCTCTTATTAAGGGGAATGCTGCAAATGAAAACATGGCTTCTCTGTGAGCAGATCTTGCACTACTGGCAGCTCAGGAACTTTTGTGCTGTGCACATACTGGTGTCACATTGTCCTGGTCAGGCTGGTGCGCTTGTGTGTCTTTGGCTGGTTGCTGGTGAAAGAGCACCTGCGTGTGGTAGAGCCTTCTGCTGTCAGAGATTGTAATCTTTCCATTTTAGTTTGTTACATCATAATGCCATGAAATAGATCTTACATCCCTTAGAAAAGAAACCCAAGCAAATAAATCTGTACTTACTTGACTGAGGCTGTCAGTTTTGCTGGTATCTTCTCTATGTGTGCAGCAAAGACGATGCTGGCCCCGCTTACCTTTCTCAGTCACCTGTTGTTTTCTGTGAGATGCTGCCACAAAGGGGATCACTCACTGCAGTGTGCAGAGTGAACTGATGAAAGTTCATTTTTCAAGCTTTAAGATAAATGCTGATCATGTTTTTGGGATTTTTGTTTTTCAGAGCCAGGGTGAGCGTCTTCTTTCTAGAGAAGCACCAGAGGAGCTAAAGCAGCAGCCCCTGGCCCTTGGGTATTTTGTATCAACTGCCAAAGCTGAGAATCTTCCCCAGTGGTTTTGGTCATCGTGTCCCCAGGCTCAAAACCAGTGCCCTCTCTTCTTAAAGGTTGGTTTGGTGTCATATTAGAAGTTTGCAAGGAATGAGTGATTTACGCTTAAATTTAATTTTGGTTAGAAATTTCAGTTTTAGTCACCATAATCTTATTCTGTTCCTTTTTTCTCTTGTATCTACTTATACTCTGAGGAAATTTTAATTACAGTTGTAGGTGGAGAGTAGAATTTAGGAGGACCCAAAACCATGTCACAAAGAAATGAATCACTGTAGCCCAAGGAGGAAACAGTGGGGCCCAGAGGGTAAATCTAGGATGGATGCATGGGGTTCAATGTGATGGTCTTTCTCCAAGTCTATATTGCATCACTATCAGTAAAGTTAAGCCTGTGTCGAAGGTATAATAACCAGCCATCCTCTTCTTCCCCTGCCAGGGACTCTTCACATTCTTCATTAGAGAAGAGTAAGAGTCAGCTAAAAACATCGCACATTTACACTTGCTCCTTCCTTTATATTTCTTGGAACCTTTTAATCCCAATTTTAAGGGTTCAAAACAAAAGATCCCCTACTTGCAGTTTATGTTAAAAACAGCAATACCTAGAATGAAATCCATCTCTTGCCCACAGATTGGCAAAAATACAAAGATTTGGCAGCATACTGTGTTGGCCAGATGTGGGGAGCAGGCCCTGGTGTTGGTGGGATTGCTGAATGATATAGCCCTACACACTTCCCTTTCAGGGCAGCAATCCCACCTCTAAGGAATAGCCCAAAGGTTCTTTGCCAAAACAGAAAATGACATATGTCCAAGACTAGAAAGAACCTAAGTGTCATCAGTGAGGGACTGATTGAATCAACTGTGGTGCATCCAGACAGTGAAATATTAATCATCTACAACAAAATGGAGACCATTTCTATGTAATCATTCTGTGGAGTAGAGATTACCATGGAGTAATCTATAAGATATGCACATTCACACACATATACACGTACACACATAGCTGTGTATATTTTCAGAAAGAAACGATGGAAATTAAACCAAAAACTTATTAGACAGTGAAGCAATGTTCTTTTCCTAATGACTTTAACATACTATTATAAAATCAAAGAAGGTTTATAAAAATGCATGTGTTCTTTATTTTGAATTAGAATTATCAATATGAGCATAGATTTATTTTTCCTCTCTAAAAAAGTATACACATTTTTTTAGCTCTGTCTGCTGAAAAAGCTTAGCAGCAATAAACACCTCTGTTGCCACGAATGTGGTTCCTGCACACCGTTGTCATTTAAAGGAACTGTGGTTCTTTGAAGAGATGACTGATTCCAGATATGCAGCAGGAAATATTCACAATGAACCTGAGGCATCTTGTCACACCTAAAAGGAAGAAAGTTACCAAAGATTATTATGGTCCAGCAGGGCCTCAGGAGCCATCTTAGGGGGCAGCTCTGTTGTCCAGGGATAGGATGGGACAGTGTGATCATTAAAAAAAATGATGACAGTGATAGAATGAAACAAATCCTTGGTTCATAATTGTGTTGGAAAACAAACAAAAAATCAGTCATCATTTGTTGCTAGAGCATCAACTCAGTCTGAAAAATAAAAAAATAAAGAGAAAGAAGCATTTATATGTTGCCTCTCCTTTACATGTAAAGTAATACCAAAACCATTAGGTGAAAAGTTGATGAGGAACTTTATGATGGATGTAGTGTCCTGGTATCACCTGAACCCAGTGATGAATCATGTGACTTCAAGTGGGACAGTAGACATTTCATGCCTTTAATCATTTGTCATGTACAGATCATGTTGGCTCATGATTTTAGTAAACCAATTATAAAAAGACATTTTTGAGATAATGGAGCATTATCTTCCTCATTATCCTACAGATGGGGTGATAATATTAAGGAATCATTGTTAATTTTTCTGTGATAATTACTGTTATGTTTAAAGGTCCTTATGTGAGACATCTACTGACTTTTTACAAGCAAAATAATACAATATTTGTTTTTTTGTGGGGAGGGTTTTTTGGGGGTTGGTTTGTTTGTTTCTTTTTTTTGGAGACAGAGTCTTGCTCTGTTGCCCAGGCTGGAGCACAGTGGTGCAATCACAGCTCACTGCATCCTCATCCTCCCAGGCTCAAGCAATCTTCCAGCTTCAGCCTTCTGAGTAGCTGGGACTACAGGCACACACCACCATGCCCAGCTATTTTTTTTTAATGTTTTATAGAGATGGTAATATTTGTGTTTAATTCAGAAAAAGAAAATGAAAACAGAAAAGTGGTGAATATTGATAATTGTTGCATCTTGGCGATATCAATTCATGGGACCTTATTATATATTATAGTATTTTTGTGTGTGCTAGACTATTTCCATTGAAGAAACAAAATGTAGTAGACAAAAAAAGCCCAAAAAGTTTGCTTTTTTTTTGTTTTTTTCCAACTCTAGGATAAGAAGTTATTTGGGATTACCTTGGGGGTTACTGAGCAGGTTAAAATTTGTAGACTCACAGAAACCCTGACTTCTACGGACTTTTGGGAGCATCTGCTTCTGGCAGACATGGCCTCCCTCACTTCTGCACTGTGATTGTCTAGACCAGAGAGGTAACTCTCTTTGTTTTTTCACCAGGCTTCGCTGCATCACCACATTTCAGTAGCACAGACAGACGAACTTCTGCCTGCCAGGAATTCTCAGCGGGTTCCACACCCTCTTGACTCCAAAACCACGTCGGATGTTTTAAGGTAGATACCAACCTAGGCATCATAGCAGTGCAATTTGAAACAATATTCCTTTACTGTTGTCTTTCCAAGGTGTTTTAATCTAAGTGTGGTATTCATAGAAGCTGCCGTTTGTGCAGTGATACAGTATCTGATGAGTCAGTGAGAGCTGCAGTCCCTCATAGCTGCATGGGACAGGCGGTGTAATACATTGGATTCAGTTAGGCAGTGATAGGCATTTATAGTTGCCTTTGCTTCCTGTTCAGAGCAGGCACTTCATGGTGATGAAGAGAGGTCAGATCTTGGGGGTGGATAGTTAGAAGACAGTGTCTGGAACTCTTAAAGCACCTCACATTGAAAACACTTTTTATGCTTCCTGAGATAGATTATGTATTTTTGTTTGTTTATTCGAGATGGAGTCTCGCTCTGTCACCCAGGCTGGAGTGCAGAGGCGTGATCTCAGCTCACTGCAAACTCCGCCTCCTGGGTTCATGCCATTCTCCTGCCTCAGCCTCCCAAGTAGCTGGGACTACAGGCACCCGCCAGAATGCCCGGCTAATTTTTTGTATTTTTAGTAGAGACGGGATTTCACCGTGTTAGCCAGGATGATCTCGATCTGACCTCATGATCTGCCTGCCTCAGCCTCCCAGAGTGCTGAGATTACAGGCATGAGCCACCGATTATGTGTTTTTTTAAAAATGGACTAGAACATAAATGACATAGTTGAGAAGTGCATTCCAGAAGTGTGTATTAATCAAGCCACAGGCATTCTTCATCTACCTTGAGAAAATATACAGGCCTTTTCTAATGTTTTCTAACTCTTAAATGGTTAGGAAATGATAGGAAACTATATATTATAGATTAATGTATAATTATAGTTATGGATAAAAATAAAGAACCTGATCAACATAAATTTGGCTTCCAGGCCCCCTAGAGCAGGGGTCCCCAACCCCCGTCCATGCCTTGTTAGGAACCAGGCCCCACAGCATGCGGTAAGTAGCAAGTGAGCGAGCATTACAGCCTGTGCTCCGCCTCCTGTCAGGCAATGACATTAGATTCTCATAGGGGCACAAACCCTATTGTGAACCGCACATGCAAGGGATCTAGGTTGTGTACTCTTTATGAGACTCCTAATGATTTAAGGTGGAACAGTTTCATCCTGAAACCATCCCCCACCACGTGGAAAAATTGTCTTCCACGAAACTGGTCCCTGGTGCCAAAAAAGGTTGGAGACTGCTGCC
This sequence comes from Homo sapiens, assembly GCF_000001405.40. NCBI lineage: Eukaryota > Metazoa > Chordata > Mammalia > Primates > Hominidae > Homo > Homo sapiens. Next base: position 115,962,189 of record NC_000012.12, on the reverse strand, counting down.
CTAGAGGAACACTGTCCAATAGAAATACAATGTGAACCTCAAATCTAATTAAAATTTTTCTGTTAGCCACATTAAAATAGTAAAAAGAAACTGGTTAATTTTAGTAATATATTTTATTTAACTCAATATACTCAAAATGTTATTTCAACATGTAACAATATAAAAATATTCATGAAATATTTTACATACTTTTCTTTTTTTCGTTTTCTTTTTCTTTTTTTTTTGGAGACGGAGTCCTGCTCTGTCACCCAGGCTGGAGTGCAGTGGCATGATCTCACTGCAACCTCCGCCCACAGGTTCAAGCAATTCTCCTGCCTCAGCCTCCCAAGTAGCTGGGATTACAGGCATGCACCACCACGCCTGACTAATTTTTGTATTTTTAATAGAGATGGGGTTTCACCATGTTGGCCACCTGGTCTTGAACTCCTGACCTCAGGTGATCCACCCCCACCTCGGCCTCCCAAAGTTGCTGGGATTCCAGGCGTGAGCCACTGCACCTGGCCCCTAAGTGTTTGGGCTCCAGTGCCTACTTTACCTGCAGTCCACGCAAGTTCCTACTGGCCTCACTGGCGGAGCTCAATGGCCATGTGTGGCTGCTGGCTACTGTACTGGATAGTCCATATCTAGAAGGAAGGAGGAACATGAGACAAAGGATGAGGGAAAGAGCCTGGGGCAAGTTAAGGAATGCCTTTGAGACCTCCTTCCTGCTAAGATCTGGAATGTATTAGAATCTGAGAACCAGCCTTCCCTCTTGAGGCTCACGCCCCTGCTCTGTGTGTTCTCTTTGGCAGGTTTGTTTTGGAGCAGTACAACGCTCTGTCCTGGCTCACGTGCAATCCGGCCACCCAGGACCGTACTTCCTGCCTTCCCGTCCACTTTGTGGTGCTCACTCAGTTGTACAATGCCATCATGAATATACTTTAATTGGAAAAGCACTTGTTCTCTCTGGCTCAGTTCCTTCTCCCTGCAACCTCAGTCCAAGGAACCTGCTACACTCTGCAAATAACCCACATCCTTTTCTTCAGACCACTCTCCACAGTCCTGCACTGTGATTCCTTCTCAGCAGGCACATGTCAATTCTGCAGTGTTCATTACCAGAGTGACTCCTTGACACTTCTCTCATGGACCTGGAAACTTCCATAAGTGGTGACTTTCAGCCAGTGCGGTGGTGTGTGTAGCCCCAACCACTGGTCCCCAGGAAGTGGTGGTGGTTGATGGCTTTTCAGCGGGAAACAGAAGAGACAGTGTCCTTTTGCACAAGAGTCTGTGTTTTCAGCCTCTGTATACAATTGAGGGCAGTCTAGCCCTTTGGATGAAATCCTCTTAGTTACTGGTGTATGGCCTGTGGGTTACCTGAACTCCATAATCTGGGACTTTTTAAAAATAAGAACCAGCTCAAGTACATGGTTTCATACTGGGGTTTCTGTCTCCCTAGTGTTCCCATCCAGATTAGCATGAGTGCTTTGGTTGACTTCAAACCTGTGTGTCAATGCAGAAGGTCTGGAGACAGCTTCATTTTGTTTATTTATTTTAATTTGTTTTGTCATATGGTTTTTGTGACTTTATTTTTTTAATTCACAAGGACCAGGTACAGTAGCTGAAACCCAATTCAGATCCACCATAGGATTCTTTGACTACATACCTCTGTCCTAGAAGCCGGAAAAGGAGTAAAAACACATTGGGGAGATCATGCCTAAAAGTAATATATTCAAAACCACCCAGCAGTAGGTTTTGTTAACAACAAACTGGATTTTAAAAGTTCTGCCATGTTAAGTGGCCAGCATTTCATGAAGGATAACATTTTTATACAGAAGGCAGTCAAGCTCAACTCAGAGCCATGGAGGCAAGTACCTTAATTAGTTTTATATAGTCACAACGGAAATATATTTTCTAGTGAATTCTTATTGGAAGCCAGGTCTCTCCTCTCATTAGATCAAAAGGGACTTATGTACATACAACAATTGAAAGTGTTTGCTCATGAAATCAGTTATAAATATGGTGAATTTTTTCTGGACCATAGGAATATTATTTCAAAGAAATATTACAACTTAACCATTAAATTAGTACTTGAAGTTGAGCCTTTGTGGTGGGACTTTTTAAAAAAATGCCTTTTTAAAGCATTAATGGCTAATTGAAGTATTTTATGACTCCTCATTCCTGGCCCAGAGGGTTGTCTTTGAAACCCTGTTTCTAACCCTTGTGTTGTGTGTTTCTGTCTGAGGACAGTGGGTGTGTACTGGCCTCCCGGGAGCCACTGTGACCAGGCCTTTGAGCTCTTGTCATCTGTGGAGAGAATCATGCAAATTTTAAAAGTTCTTCCAAGAGACTTCCATGTCCTGGTTATTAACAAAAAAGGAAAAATGTAATAATTGATATGATTTTGTAAAAGTATTTTTCTTGAAATAATCTAAAGTTTAAAACATTATATTAAAAAAAAAGTTGTGTGGTGGGAATGTGAAAGCAGAGAAATAACTTGTAAATGGATAATTTTGTTCTCTGTACCACCAGTTGAAGGGGGGGTTGACTTTCGCAATGTATAGGATAAAAAATCTGATATATCAAACCATTTGTATCTAATGTGTACAGTGTAAAATTGACTTTAAAAATATTGCAGTGCTATTTTTTCTTAATCAGAAAGGAAAATTCTCAAGGCCTTTTGAAGAGCATAAGAAGATGAAGATTGTAAACTTGTATAAAATTATCTTGGTGAGAAGACAAATTGTAAAGTAGATATTTGTAATCTTTTACCACTTTGGGGTTGCTTTTTTCCCGGAATTCATCAGAACTTTGAATTTTTTTTTTAAATGGGCTGTTTTTAATGCAGGGGCTTTTCTTCCCTAGAAACCCAATTCTAAGCAGAAAAAGAAAAAAAACACAAAAAATAAAAAACCCCTACAAAAAAACTTTAAAAAAAATGGCAGCAAAGGGTAGTTTTCATCTGGTGTCTTTTATTTAAGTTTTTTAAGTTAAGAAAAGCTGGTGACATATTTATACGTTTTTGTGCAAAAATAAATGAATGGCAATAGATTTTAAAAAATCTTATTATGTACTTCTGTGTGAAAAAGTCTGTATAATATTTCCCTTAAATATGCATTATTTTACTTGTGAGTTTTTTACTGAATTAATCTGAAATGTACAAGCCCTGGATTTGCTACAGAGTGAGAAGTTATTTTATTTTTTTTTATTTTTAATTTTGGAAATTCTGCAGAAATCAGAACTCTTACCATGGTTTGAACAAAAAAAGGGGAAATGGGGAGGGGAAAAGGGTGGGATTGTCCAGCATGCTTGTATGTATATTTCAGAACCTTTTTTAAATGTAAAAGCTGTACATTTCTGGGAAGTTCTGAATTTCTTTTGTTTCCTTTTTTCCTTCAAGCATTTTGCAGTGAGCTTCTTTTATATATAGCAAACAATTTGAAAGAATACAAAAATATGTGAAGTTCATTTAAAAAAATAACTACAGTATAGCGCTGGTACAGTACACTAAAAGACTTTGATAAAAAGAAACAATAATAAAAGGCCTCCATTTTAAATGTCATTCATATATACCTTGTGGATGAGAGCTATATACTTTTACACACTTTTTTAGAGGAATAAATTATTGAATTACTGAAGCTTTGAGTGGCTTTTTTCCCTTCCTCTCCTGCCTTTGTATAAAATTATCTACACCTGTTTGAGAGGTGCATGTATATGTATTGAATAGCCCTAGATTAGTAGCCAGGCCTCTACCTTCCAGTCAGTGCAATGGATGTAGAATTTTACCACCCTGATCACCCCCCTAACAGCTGTTCTGAAATGGTATTCTCATGCTCCAGGGCACAAGTACACTCCCCCATCAGTTTTTACATGCTAACACACACAACACCGAATCAACTGCTGTGAGTCGATGAGCTCTAATGGTGTCTCTCAGCTGTAAGATTGTGGTCAATTCTAGCACAAATGACAAGTCTGTATCTTATATTCCACCGCCTTTCTCTACACAGTCTCAGCCAGTTTCTTTATGATGTCTCTTAGAAATGACAGATACATCTCTCTCTGCTGTTTTCCTGATTCACAGGCTGGTGACGGGAGTTTGGCATCTGATACACCACACGCAAGTCCCTGTTGGCTGCACACCATCTACCATGCTGTTCCCTTCTTGGGTCCATCAGCTAGGAAAAGCCACATGTTCTAGCAGGAGTTGCGAGGGTATATTTCGTATACTGCCCTTGCAAAATCTCTCATTAAAAATGGTTAAACCCCAGGACTTGGCAGAGCTTACAATAAACATTTGAATAATTGGAAAGGCCTTGCTTTTAATCTGCCTTCATCATTTTAGAAATATACGTTGTTCTGAACCTAACATTATCAGAATCCAGAGATAAAGCTATTGAGACAACTCAACCTTCTGTTACTTCATCTGCAAATGAGGGATGAGGATGATTGCATGAGAAATGCTTTGCAAACTAAAAGGCTTGTATCCATGTTACAGCTGCACTGTTGAAGAAAGACTGAGAAAAGTGAGGCCAACTTTTTGGTTAAAAAATAATAGTGATCTCATCCAGTTACTGCCTTACATATATAACTTTTATATAGTCCTGCAGCAGCTAAATAATCAGAACTAGGAGGTACTTTTACAAGCATTCAGTAGCTTCAATGCTTAGCTCATACGTTGGGTGGTACTATATTCAACAATTAGTGTTGGCTTTATAGTAGGAATGTCATTTTCATAAGTGCCCCCACCTGTACCAATTCAGCAACCGCAGCTAAATCTCTTTGAGGTAGGATAAATGAATGCATTTAAATGTCTTCCAAGTTAGATGTAGATAAGCCATCAGCCTTCAGCAGTTTGCATCACCCAGATTCTGCTCTTCACACCAGTTCATTCCCTCCAACCATGTGATTATGTAGTTTTTGGTTTTACTGTTCAGGAAGTCATGAGCAAAGGTATTTGTTACCAACTGGGCATCAAAGAACCACTAAAAATCTTTATAAAAGTACAGTTCGTCAATGAGTTTTTAAAAGCAAACCTCGTAAGACATACTGCAGAAGCATAAGCCACATATTGAAAACAGTCTTTGCCGCTTGTCATTTACAGTCAAGCCAGTATAAAAAGGAAATCGTGCTTTGGAATTCACCGCACGCCCAAATCCTATCAAGATGCAATTTTCACTTATTACCGTGTTATTTTGGTGTTAAACGATTCTCTTGTTTATATTCCCTTGACAAAAAGGTCACTTTAGCAGTAATTATTTCATGTCATTAATACCTAATGAGACACCACTAGAAAATTCTGTTGTGCCAGGTAATTATAGAGGGTTGTAATGTTTGCCCTGGGCATCCTGCTCTGCCTGGAACCAGATTTACCAGTCTTCCTCCACTTTGCTTACAATTCCAGGGTCACGTTTAAAAAAGATTTTTTGACACTTAACTGCTTCTAGCTAGAACGCTAAATCATGAAGCAGTTAAGAAATAGAAGTTGATGAGAAAGTTTAATCTCCAGGAAGAAGGTTGGACATAACCAAAGTATTGATTTTTCTCTGTAAAGGCTATTTCCTCAATGAATTCAAGTTCCCAGGTGATGGGAAGACCCGAAGACAGACATTCCTGTTAGTCCCACTTTTTCTTTGTTTTCTTTCAAACAAGCAGGGAAGTGAGGAAAGCACAGGTTCAGTTTTAATAATCTGCTAACATGGCACTTGTCTGGGCTGTTACCCATATGGGTCAAACCATGTCTGTCCTGGAGTGTGCTTGAAATTCACCCAGTGATCACAGCATGCAGACACGTTGAAATTGGCAGCATCTCTGAGCATTTCTCTGGCTCCTGCTGCCTAGTGTATACCTCTTTTGCCTTGCTGTTGGGTGAGGCATGTTTCAATCTACTTGTTTTATAAGACTAGACAATATTCAGTAAAATGGGCCACCCCAGAGCTTAGAACAGAAGCTCTGGGAAAAAAAATATCTAATACGAGGAAGTATTCGTTGTGGGGGAATGTCAATTTAAATAATTTAACATGTAAAATAGTAATTGTCTTAATTTAGGCTATAACGTTTTTCAGTAAGCATTTTCACGTTAGCTTCTCATAAATCTTAGTTTGTTCACTTAGAGGTCTTGATGTTCTTATTAATTTCGATACATTATTTACATATATAATTTCCTGTCTGCTTCCTTTGAAGTATGTGATTTTTTTTTTAATTGTAGAGGAGACACAGTTTCTGTAATTATACATACACCAGTGTTTTTTGTTGTTGCTATTTCTTGTATTACTGCAAAGCTTAGGAGGTTTTCTCTCTTAGGTCTAGGGGTCAAGATCACGTTTGCTTGATAAGATGAACCAATGAACTTCCCCGTCATTTTCCGTGAGCCCAAAGAGTTTATCTTTCATGACACCAACTTTCTATTGGGCTGAGACTGAATAAAGGACTGAAGTAGGCACTCACGAAATGTTTGTCAAATACTGATACTGTTGAAAGAGTAGAATTAGTTGCACCTCAAAAATCTGAAATAATTTACCAGTAAATTCATCAGATCCTGATGCCTTTTGGGGAAGCGGTTTACAAAACAGGAATTTTTTTTTTTTTCGTTTTTGGTTGATTTGGGGTTTCCATTTCTTTTGTTGATTTTGTTAATTTAGATTTTTACAGGAAAAAAATGAGTTTTTCAAATGTATTACTTAATGCAATGGTGCAGAATACCCCCTTAATTTTGAAACTTTTTGGTGATGTATGCTCTTTTCCATTTCTAGCAATATTAATGCTTTTATTCCACCTCGATTGATTTTTCTAGCAGTTTGATTTTTTTTTTTTAGTTTTTGTTTGATTTTTCCAAAGAAACAGCTCATGGACTTAACAATTCTGCTGTTTGTACCTTGGCTTTGTCTTCTTATTCTTTTTCCTAGTTTCCTTGAGAGTTATGTTTCATTTTGCTTGAATTTTAATTGCCTGCTTAGTTAATTTATTTTCACTTTTGATGATATAGGCATTATAGCCTGGGGGCTTCTGGATGTGTTGGCCCTCCTCAAATTATATGCAGAATTCTTCATGTGCATTTTTTTTTAGGGAGACAGTCTTTGTATCAGATTCTCAGAGATGTCAAACCCTAAAAGGGATAAAATTGCTTTTATCGTTTGAGATGTCAAACGCTAAAAGGGATGAAATCTGGCACTAGATTTAAGTTGATTACATCCTACAAGTCTTGATGCTTAATGTTTTCATTTTTATTTTTATACTCTTGGTTCTTTATTTCTTTTTTGATCCGTTTTTGTTAAGGAAAATTCTCTTAAAGTCTCTCACGCTGTAATATTCTCCTATGCTACAACATAATCTTGCATTCTCTGAAATCTTCAAAACAAGGTGTGTCCTATTTCATGGGCAGTGTTGCCTAATATAAATAGAATGTGAACCATACATGTAATTTAATATTTTCTAGAAGCCACATTTAAAAAGTAAAAATAAACAGGTGAAATTAATTTTAATATATTTTATTTAACCAAATATATCCAAATTCTTATTCCATGTCAACCTAAAATCAATATGAAAATTATCAGTGAACTATGTAGCATTCTTATTTTTGCAGTAAGTCTTTGAAATCTGTATGTAGTTAACATTTACAGCACGTCTACATTTGGATGCTAAATTTTCAATAGTTGAGGAAAAATGTAGTTCTATCAAAAAAAAAGGGATTTAGCAGAAAAAATGCACTGCTTCCGTTTTTAAATTAAATTTAAATTAATTAGACTTAATAAAATTAAAAGATTAGTTTCTCAGTCACACTCACCGTATTTCAAAATGATCAACAGCCACATGGAGTAGTGGTGATCCTATGGGCCAGTACAGCTGGGGTGTAAGATTTGGTAGCAACTAATTGTGTCTTGAGTATATTGTTTTTGTTTGTTTTCTACACCCCATTCGGACCTCAACCTCTGTCCCAGGCAGGCAGTAGGAGTTAAAATTTCCTGCTGGAAGTTTGGTCTTCCTTTGTACTTCCTTACTGGTGCATAAAGGTTTAATGATGTTTATGTATTATATAATTTATCTCTGTATAATCACCCTTTGTTCTGCATAATGCTCTTTGCTTTAAATTATCCTTTTAATACCGCCCCTCTTTCCTTTGATTAGAATTCCAGTGTTATATCTTTGGCCCACCACTTATTTTCAACCTTTGTCATTTTGTGTCAGGTGTACTTCATACAAACTCTTGTATTTTATTTCTTAAGAGAACAATACTATTTTTATTTGAATAGGGTAATTTTTGCCTTTGCATTTCCTGTTTCATGTTATACTTTGACTTGTCAGCCAATTTTTATAAATACACATACAGATTTATTTGCTTCCTTTAACTCTTCAGTTTTGCCTTTTTTGTGTATGGACTCTGCCATTTGCCTTTTTTTTTTTAACGTGTTTTGGAAAGAAACCTCCATTACCTAATTCCATCAGTGATGACCTTTACACAGTCCACAGACATCCACCATGCTCCTCTCATTCCGTAGATTCCATTCTAATAAAAACAGCACCTTGGATCCACCCGTTCCAACCCCGTTCTCATTCTCTCGGGATTTAATGGATGTGAACTCAAACTGTGTGGGGTTCATTTCCTAGGCCACAGGGTAACACCTGCTAGTCAGAGCCAAATTATTTCATCCTTTTCCTTGGACACTGCCCTTCAGTTTTAGGCAACTCCCTTAGTCACAGGCTTCTTCCCCAACAAATGTGGAAGTCAATGTTACTCAGGGACTGTCTTACCGTTAGGCACTCCCAGCTGCTGTTACACATAAATGTAACATGTTTGCAGAAGGAATTTGATGATTCTGTTAACAGGATATGTGCCCCTAAGGTGCCAGGCCCCAAGCTAGGGGATAAAGAGATACATGAACCCCCGACTGTAGTCCTATCTTTAAGGTGGAAATCAGTCTAGGAGGTCAGCATCTATGACACAAGGGACTGTCCTCTAAAGCTATGCGAGCAATGGGCGATGTGTGAGCCCTACGGGTCCTCTGGGATGTCCCCAGCAGCCTGTTGCTATGACAGGACACACGCACCTCCCATGTCCAGTCTGTCAGCATAACCAAGCCATCCATTTCGGCTACTGTCTTGCTGACACCTTTAATTCCTCACCCATTGCTTATTCTGCATCTGTCTTGGCAAAGTCTCAATCCTTGATCTCCGGGAGCTGGTTAGTGTTCAGATTCCCAGGCTACCCCAGATCCTGATCCAGTTGGTGGGGGGCAGGGCCCACAGATCTGCATTTAATTCCCTCCCTCCCCAGGCGACTTGGATCCAGGAACTGGTGGCCCACACTTCGAGAAACATCTGTCCAAGTCAGCTTAACTTCTGCTAGGACAGTGTGGATAGGCAGGCAGGTGGTAAAGCAGACAGGACATCCGGCTGCCATTATTGTGTTAAAATTCAGCATGGCCCTTCTATAGTTTCCAGAGACAATCAGCCCTTCCCCCATGACTCCCACGTCTGTAGCTGTAGATTCAGTATCTCCATCTTCCCACAAGATGCCTCGACCTGGAAGCTCAGGGTCACTCCAGACATAGCCCTGAACCTCTTCCTTCAAACTCTTCTTCTCCTCCTGCTCATCAACCCTGAAGTCTGTGTCATCTTGAATATCTCTCTCTCTTCTCCCCTCATCCCCATGTTTTGTCATTCTCAGATTCTCCATTCTAAAAGTCATCGGATCTTCTCTGGAACCAGGCATGGGGGAACCACAAGAAATAAGGCAGGCATCATCCCTGGCCTGGGGCAGCGCATAGTCTAGTGAGAGCAGGTGCAGCCTAGTGGGGGATCTGGGATAGGGTGAAGACAGAGTGCTTACACTCTGGGAAAAGCTTTCTGGAAAAGTGGTATTTTCAGAAGCTCCGCAGAGCCAATAGGAGGCAGCTGTCAGAGGTGGGGTGTGTTCCAGGTGGAGGATACAGCATATGCAGAAACGTGAGGCCACAGGAGCCCCCTGCAGGTCAGCCCGACACGTCTGAGAGAAATGAGGACTCACGAAGGCATTTTAAGCAAGTTAATGATCAGATTGACCTTTAGAAGAACTATCATGGCTGGGGGAGGTGGTTCACACCTGTAATCCCAGCACTTTGGGAGGCCAAGGCAGGTAGATCACCTGAGGTCAGAAGTTCAAGACCAGCCTGGCCAACATGGTGAAACCTCGTGTCTACCCAAAAATACAAAAATTAGCAGGGCGTGGTGGCAGGTGCCTGTAGTCCCAGCTTCTTGGCTGAGGCACGAGAATCACTTGAACCTGAGAGGTGGAGGTTGCAGTGAGCCAAGATTGTGCCACTGCACTCCAGCCTGGGAAACAGAGTGAGAGCCTGTCTCAAAAAAAGAAAAAAGAAAGAAAGAAAAAAAAACAACTATTATGGCTATCGGAAGGGGGTAAAAATGGAAGCTAGAATAATGGTGGGCCACACCCTGGTATGGATAGTGAAGAGGGAGAGAGGGCTATTGAAAAACAATCAACAGAAAGTGGTTATTGACCAAGTAGGGTGTGCGGTTTCAGAAGTGGGTTGTGGACGCGGGAGGTTTCTGGCCTCAGCAGTTAGACAGCTGTCCTCAAAATGGCTATGGGAACAAGGCAGCCACTGGTGACCTTGCTGAGAATGATTTCAGCGGGGAGGACGGGGCAGAGGCCAGACTGCAGTGCATGCAGGAACAAAGCAGAGAGAAAGCAGGTAGCCAGAGTAGGACATGGAGGTGTCAGGGGGGCTGATTGGTTTGCTTTTTAATTTGCTGAGGCCTGGAGCACACGTCAGTGCCAGAACAGGGAAGGACGTGAGTGACAGATGGGTCCAAGGAGGAGGGACCCGGAAGCTTGATGGAGAGAGAGCCTTGGTTGATGGCTTTGTTCCTTTCCTTGTGAAGGAGGATGCCAAGGAGTGTTAAATGGAAGTGGTGGGTGGGTCTCAGGATGTGCAGTAGCCTTGGTGCAGATCAGGGATGAGAACCGAGGAGAACAATGAGCGGGCCTGAGACTATGAATTTACAGTGGTACCCACCTCTCTGCACCGTTATGAGCTTTTCCTTCTGATAAGGTTTGGCTGTGTCCCCACCCAAATCTCATCATAATCGTAGTTCCCATAATCTCCACTTGTTGTGGGAGGGATCAGGTGGAGATAATCGGAGCATGGGGGTGGTTTCCCCCATCCTGTTCTTGTGATAGTGAGTTATTTCTCACGAGATCTGATGGTTTTATAAGGGGCTTCCTCCTTCGCTGGATACCCATTCTCTGGCCTGCCGCGCTGTGAAGAGGTGCCTTCTGCCATGATTGTGAGTTTCCTGAGGCCTCCCCAGCCACGTGGAACTGTGAGTTAATTAGACCTCTCCTTTATAAATTATCCAGTCTCAGGTATTTCTTCATAGCAGCGTAAGAATGGACTAATACACCTTCCCTGCCCCAGGATGGGGATGGAGAGCGCAGTTCTCAGTCCTGCTGTTCCCTCCACACCACTATGAGGACACAGAATCAGACGCCCCGAGTGAGTGTCCTGATTGTACAGCTGGAAAAAGACCTCTTCTGGGCCTCTCCCTGTAGCTCGGAACAGTGTGTCGAGGTAGCCTCTCGGGCTTAGCTACAAGAGGGAAGATCTCACATCTTCGAGGAGGATGGCAAAAGGATCTTGCAGAGCATGAGGCCAAAGGAGAGCCTGTAGCCAAGGAAGGTGGGAGATGGCACATGGGAAAGAGCAGAGACCAATTTACCTGCTTCCAACTCCGGCTAAACCCTGTCCTTACAGAGTGCCTTTTGCCCAGAATATTCTTCAGACACCATTTAGAAACCAAGATGGAGGGTGGGGGAACTGGTTTACAGTGCCAAGCACATTCACTGCCTGCCAGATCATCTCAGGTAGGCATGGATTTGGGTTCTGTCTAGGGCCTTATAGATCCAGGACCCGAACGATTCTTGCAGGTCTCCAGTTGCCCCAGGCAGAAACAATGAAGGCATCTAGATCACGACTCCTCCATCACCAAGACCTGCCGGATACCATGTCCTATGTCCCCCCCCACAATTCCTTCCCCTCACCTCTTACCCAGATCTCAACGGTGGCCTCCTTGCATGCCATCCTGTCTGCAACCTGCCTCTTTCAATCCAATCTCCAAGCTATTACTGGTGTTAGTGAAGTCCAACTTCCTAGGCAGGGAACCCAACGAGGTTCACCATGATCTGGTCTTGAGCAAGCTTCTTAGGCTGGTCTCCCAAGGCAACACAGTGCGGGACAGGGACAGAACTAGGTCCAGCATGCTGTGACTTCCACCTGAGTTTGAGTTACTGAGAGGAGCAACAGAAATCAACAGGAGAGGGAGCTCCTCTCACAGGAGCCTTGGAAACCCTCAAGTCTTGCAGTCCTTGTTTCCGCTTCGTTGACTAAAGCTCCACTTTGCATGCGGCTCACACCTAGAAAGCCGTCTCTGCTTGAGGCACTTCTCACCCCAGTCTTGGTGCTGATAAAGCCCAAACTCTCTGGTCTTTGCTGCCTCTGCGCAGCCATCTCTAGCTTTGGGCTGGCCCCTCTGTCCCTCCCGGGACTCCCAGAGTAGCTGATGCCCCATCAGGGCACCGACAACACTGTGTTATCAGTGGACTCTTCTCCCACGGCCCCTTCCTGCCTGGTACAGAGGAGACATTCAACAGACCGAATGGTCAAGTGGAATAGCTGCATGCCCTGAACCTTGGAGAGATGAGTTCCTTCCTACCATCCTACCTGGTCGTTTTTCTGGAACCTTCTACACTTCCAAGACAAGATCTGTTTTCTCCAAGTTCCCTCCCTAACATTTCAAAAATACGTGGTTTAGAGCCAGGATGTGCTATCGATGTCCTGGCTCTGCCGTGGCTTGCTCTCCATGGGCCTTCTCTGTGTCTCTTTCCTTGCCTGTAACATGTGATGCTCACAGCACTGCCTTCACCTACTGCAGAGAGAAATGCAGTGATCCCCGCATGGATGGGACAGGCATTGAGTGTCTACTGCCTGCAGTAGACACTCAATACATGTCCGTTCTTGTTTTTTCCCAGAAGAGTTATGGAAGGCTCATTTTACCCCTTTACATATTTGGCAAATAGGCATTTGAAACGTACATGAAATGCAGTACTCGATTTTTGCCCTTTATCTACATCACCCTCTGCAGTCCTCTCTTCTTCCAGATGTTGGGTTCCAACCAAAAACCTTGGGGAGACTCCGAACTGATTTCTTCGTCACTCTCTGCATCTGATCCATTTGTTTCAACCTTGTGAGCCCCACCTTCAAAACGAACCTAGAATCTGAATTTCTTTATACCACGTCCGCTGTTACCACTGTCCTGGGGCCAGTGCTCTGTCACCCAGCTGCAGCAGGCGACGTCTCGCCACCCACACCCAGTGCAGTCCATCCTCCAGCCAGCATCTGCTCACTGGTCTCGAACAAAGGATGGAGCCACTCTGTCCTTCGTCTACCCAGAATCCTCCAGAGGGCGGAAATAAAATCCAAACTGCAGTCCACAAGGCCTGGCATATCTGGCCCCCTTTGCCCCTTTTTGTGCCACATTGCAGCTACACTGGCATCCCTGAGTTTGCCAAACATGCTCCCACCTCTCGGCCTTTGCACATCCTGTTCCCTTCACCAGAATTTCTCAATCTGCCCCCTCTTCCAGGCCTGCATTCCCTGTCACTTGCTCTGTAAGGCCTGTTGTTAATGGCACGCACTGTTTGAAAAGCACAGGCACCCCCCTGTGCTGCCAGCTCCTCCCCAATGGAACACACTGTGTTCCTTAGTGACTCGTTTTCTTTCTCTTCCCTCCTAGAATGTGAGCATCCCTAGGACATCACTAGGGATTTGAGTCCGTGTTGCTCACTGCTGTATCCCCAGGTGCCTGGCATGCAGCAGACTCTCAAATAGTAGCTGTTGAATTCATGAATGAATTGAGTTGGGGGCGGGGGCTACCCTCCCTTACTCAGGTTCCTACTCCAGAGTCATCTCCACAGAGAGCTGGTCCCTGACCCACTCTCTTCCAGCCCCCAGCCCCCAGCCTCCCCCAGCCCCTGGCACTCCCTCACTTTGCTTTGTAGGGGTTGTTACTCAATGCAGACACACCTACTTGGTCTGTTTGTGTGCCATCTCTCCTACTAGAATGCAGGTTCCATACAGCAGGAACTGTATTCCCAGCATGTAGACCGGGGCCTTCCATATTTGGAAAAAGGCCTGCAACTTTTAAAAACGTTTTATTTTGAAATAATTTTGCACTTACAGAAAAGTTACAAAGGCAGCACAGAGATTCCTGTATACCCTTCACTCGTCTCCCCCTGGTGTTGACATCTTGCATCGTCACAGGACAAGAATGAGGACTAAGAAATGGACATTTGTGCATCACCGTAAACTCGACCTCAGCCTTTGCTCAGATTGCACGTTTTCCCATGAGGTCGTTTTCCTGATCCAGGGTCCAATCTGGGACCCCACATGGCGTTCACTCATCACGTCTCCTTCGTCTCCTCTGATCTGTGACCAATCCTCCGTCTTTCCTTATTGCTTTGTGACTTTGACAGAACTGTTCTTGTTTGAGCTCTCGTTTGGGTGAACAGCCCAAAACCGACTGGTCAGTTATTTTGTAGTTATTTGGTCTCTCAACTTGGGTTAGTCTGATATTTTCTAGTGGTGAAATTGTGGTTATGCATCTTGGGACAAGAACACCATGGAAGTGACAACGTCCTTCCCAATGCATTAGTGTTGGGAGGGTTCGAGATGTCATCGTATCATCTTACAGATGACATTAACCTTGAACCCTTGGTTAAGGCTGCGTCTTCTGGATTTCTCCACCGAAAAGTTATTTCCCTCGCAAATATTTTGGAATGAATAAATTCTAGGAAATACCGCAGAAGCTCAGATACATATTTGTTATGTCCTAGATTTTCCACCAGGGGACGATGTTCACTGACAAATCTTAATGGGCAAAAGTCAAGGGATTTGAAAGCAGGGGGCCAAGGCCCTGGGGGGCTGGTCTGAGTCCACTCTCCCAGGGCAGCCCTCGTTTAGGTGAAGAGCCCCAGGGGACAGATTCCCGGTTGGGCATAGGTGCCAGGTGTAGGGGTGGCTGAGAAGAGCAATCTGGCTTGGCAAATTTATAGTGCATAGAAGACTGAGCTAAGAGGCTGGTAGCTGCTGGGGGGTGGGGGGTCTGCGCGCACGTGTGTATGCACACATGTGCATGTGTGTGTGCACGTGTATGTGTGTGAGGAGGAGAAGCTTTAATGTTGTTACATTCAATACCTTGGCGTTCATTAGACTTGAAGAAGCCAAAGCAAATATCCTTCCTATGGTGCCTCCCTGCCCCTGTAAACCCCCACAGACACCTCGGGAAAGGCCCGTGGGCCCCGGGCAGAAGGGGACCTGCATGTGAAATGGCTCCTGGTAGCCTCAGAGATTTTAGGCTTGGAGCAGACCCAGGGCATTGGAGATATCATTTCTACTTAATTAAATTTTAATCCAATAGGATGTTTAGAAATAATACAGACTGCAAAAGGGCATGAGGGAACTTAGTAGAGTGAGAGGAACATCTCTGTTTTAGTTGGTGGTGTTATATTTGTCAAAGCACAGGGAATTATCCATTTAAAATGGGTGCATTTAAAAAATAATTCAATTGTGGTAAAAATACACATAATGTGAAATGTACCATCTTAACCACTTTTAAGTGTACAACTCAGTAGGGTTGAGCAGCTCCACAGTGCCGTGCAAACAATCTCCAGAACCTCTTCCTCTTGCAAAACAAACCCTGTGCCCATCAAACGCTAACTCCCCAGTCGCTGACACCACTATTCTTTCTGTCTCTGTGATCTTGACTCCTCTAGGCACCTCCTATGAATGGAATCACGCAGTATTTGTCCTTTTGTGACCAGCTTATTTCACTTGGCATAATGTCTTCGAGTTCACCCCTGTGTAGCAGGTGCCAGAATTTCCCTCCTTTTCTAGGTGGAACCACACTCCATTGCATGTATATACCAGATTTTGTTGATCCCTTCAGGCTTCAGTGGACACTGGCTTGCCTCCACCTTTTGGGTATCGTGACTAATGCTAAAATGGACATGGCCGTACACATTTTGGAATTGTTAGATCACAGAGTAATTCTGTTTTTAATTGTTTGAGGAAGCGCCATGCTGCTTTTCACAGTGGCTGCACCACAATGGTGCATTTTTTTAAAGAATAGAAATGACTTTAAAAAGAGCACATTTGATAGCTCCTGTGGCGTTGTGGGGGAAGGTGTCTTTTCTTCCTTCCCAGTTCATGAGGGCAGGGCTTCTAAATATTCTTCCTAGGTCCATGTAGCTCCAGACTCATTTCTGGCTCTAATTTTGCCCCCTGAAACCAACAGGAAGATTAATAGGCATTTGTTAATAGCTCCCAGGCCTACAGGCCCCCAAACAAAAACAAACATCCCCGTCCTGGGCCAGCCCCACACATCTGCCCCACTCTACCTCCTGACTTGTGGACGTTTTTGGAATTGGGCATCTCGGTTGGATGTGGCCTTCTAGACATCTGGCAGTGAAACCCTGGCACGCTGGGCACTCTGGCTTCCTGGTCCCTTTCCATCCCAGGAGGAAGACAGTGATTTACAGGAGCAGTGCTGGCCTTCCTGAGGATTTGACTCAAGTAAAAGCCTCCAGGGGCCTGAACTGTCCTGAGATTTTTAATTGGGTTGCTGGAGAGATATTCTTGCCTTCTTCCCTTCTGTATTAGTCTGTTCTCACGCTGCTAATAAAGACATACCCGAGGCTGGGTAATTTATCAAGGGGAGAAGCTTAGTGGACTCACAGTTCCACGTGGCTGGGGAGGCCTCACAATCATGGCGGAAGGCAAACGAGGAGCAAAGTCACGGCAAGAGCGTGCAAGTGTGCAGGGGAACCCCCTTTATAAAACCATCAGATCTCGTGAGACTTACTCACTATCGCAAGAACAGCACCGGAAAGACCCGCCCCCGTGATTCAATTACCTCCCACCGGGTCCCACGTATGAAGTATGGGGATTATGGGAGCCACAATTCAAGATGAGATTTGGGTGGCGACACAGCCAAACGCTATCAGCTTCCAAGTAAAGAAGCCTCCACGTCCCTTCAAGTCCTAGGCATAGAAGCCTGACAGGTCACTTGTTCCAGAGCCGGTTGCAAAACTGAGCAAGCAGGGAGATTTCTCTGGTAAGGCCTCTGTAGCTTGTGAAGGCTTCTGAGCTGAGGCCAGATCGGCTCTTTCCTCATCTGTATTCCTGACC